>NC_000005.10:21822972-22126002 GCF_000001405.40 Homo sapiens
TCAAAAATTATCTTTGCATAGTAGATTAATTGCTTAATTTTCCGGTATCTCAGATTATTGATATTTGATTCAACTACAGTTTTTAGTGGTCTCCTTCATGGAATGACAAGGAAAAACACATAAACAAAAAGACAAGTGTTTTTCTTGATGGCATTTATGGTCTAGTGGGAGAGAAGTCAATTAAACAATCACACAAAAAAGTAAAATAGCAGAAAAAAACACCAGCGCTCTAAAGGAAAGTTACACAATTCTATTCAATGTTTAAACTGAGAATCCGAGCTGAGACAATACCATTGGGTTCTGTGAGGTCAGCTAATAGAAAACATTCCAAACAGAAGTAACCATATGACAAAGGTGATATGATCATAGTTTCCTGTCTTACCAGTTTGTTTGTTCAATAACTCCCACTGGGACCTATCATCTCTAATGTCAGAAGCACCTCTAGTATATTAACCTATAGCCTATATAGCTTGGCCATGTACTTTTGTTGCTGCAATTTGGCAAACCCTAACTCTTGATGATGATAATTATCTTCCTTCTAAAGGAGGAGGGATGGTTTACTGAGGAAAACCATAGAGAAGCAACTAGATATTACTATAAATTATGATCATTAACTTTGAATGCCCCTTCAAAATTGCTTAAAAAGCACACAGATTTGCAAAGGTAACTGACTACCATTCTCTGTGACTTCTATTTTGAACTGATCTACTGTCCTTAAATATCTGCTTAAGTACTCCCTTTACTACTTCCTTTCTCAGTTGGTGACCTTGCCTTGTAGTTCACAGAAAAAGAAAAAAAAATGATGTTGCACAGGAGATTGCTCAGCTTCCCCAACCTTCAAAGGATCCTACATCAGTGTGACTCACAGTTTGAATAATCATAACATGTAAGATATGATACAAACTTTTTTTTTTATTTGTCTCTCACTCTTCCTTTAGACTTTCTTCTGTCGGGGTATGCTTTGTCTTTTCTTGGATGAAGACAATGGTGAGTAAATGATGTTTCTTCTCACTATTAAATAATAATCCTATGTTCACTTTAATTCTAAAAACATAGATTTGGAAGTTAGACATTTCCAATAAATCATATTAACTAGCACATCAATCCATATGCAAAATTAAGACTTCTCCCCTTGGCCACCCCACCCACGTCCAAGCCAATTAGAGCCAGCAGCAGATGGGACATTGAGTTGGGATCTGGATGGATTAGCAGCCTTTCTCTGTCCAAATTTTTAATTTTTTTTTCATCATCTCCTTTCCTGGGGTGTTTTCACCTCACCATTGGAGGCAGCAAAGTTAGGAGGCTGGACTGTTCTTACTTGATGATGTGGTTTTTGCTTCTCTGGAGCTGCACAGTGCACTTGGGGGCAGCTCTTGGAAGTTTCTCTTGCAGCAGCCTCCACACCAATGGCATTGCCTCTGCTTTGATGGACTATGACCTCAGCCTCCAGATTTCAGGCGACCCACTCCACAGGCAGATTCTCGCTTCAAGGAGAATCTCTTTGGCAGGACTTAACATAATGTTGGGTTGGTTTTCCCTTCTGCTTACTCATTTCTTGCCATTCCTTTTGTTGTCATACAATTAGTTTCCCAAACACAGCCTTGTTCTCTTTTCCTTTCTCTGCTGTTTTCAGGAGATTTTAACTTTCCTCAGCATGAGACGCATATCATTCCATGAATTTCCCCCATTTTCTGGGAAAATATATTAGAGTTTATTGTTTGTCTTAGCTAAATGGAAGGCCCCATTCACCAAACTTGAGAGGAGTAGGAAGGACAATCCTACCACTCACTTTTAGTAGACAGGGACTACACATGGCTTTCTCCAAAGAAATCCTCTGCACATAATTTTCCCTCTACTTCACACTCTACAAAACATGCTTTAAAAGACTAACAAAATATTGCCCAGGCACAGTGGCTCAAGTCTGTAATCCCAGCACTTTGGGAAGCCAAGAGGGGCCGATCACCTGAGCTCAGGAGTTCGAGACCGGCCTGGCCAACATGGTGAAACTCCATCTCTACCAAAAATAAAAAAATTAGCCGGGTGTGGTAGTGTGTGCCCGTAATCCCAGTTACTTGGGAGCTGAGGCAGGATAATCACTTGAGCCAGGGAGGCAGATGTTGCAGTGAGCTGAGATCATGCCACTGCACACCAGCCTGGGGGACAGAGTGAGACTCTATCTCAAAAAAAAAAAAAAAAGAAAAAAAACTAACAAAATATCTTCCTATGACTGAAAGCTACAAGAGCCTTAAAAGCATCCTGATATTTCCATTGTAAATTCTGATCTGAGACCATACTCTGCTATGTAGTATCTATTGTATGTTAGCTTTATAGTGCATACTTCAGTATTAACCTCTTGTTATAGCTGTAAGCATTCTTTCAATTGAAGTGTCCTTCATCTCCACTTTTTCTTCTTAAACTCCAACAATTTGTACACATTTTGCTATTTTTAAAGAATCTGTTTTCTCTGCACTCAATACTTTCTTCTCAATAGAGTTATTCTTGATGAGACACAAACTGCTCATATTTGAGCATCTTAACAAAAATTCTCCCTTGTCCCAAATCTGATTCTAGTTACCCCCATCATTTTCTTTTCCCTTTCCAACAGAACTTTTCCAAGAGAAACACTGTTACCCATGCCTACTTAACAACCACTCCACAAGCAGCCTTACCCTGCTGACTGAACCCATCATTGTGTAGTAAAGTTTCCCCTGAGATATAGTGACTTCCTTGCCACTAAAATCCAGTGGCAATGTCTTAGCAGTGTTCAACACTCTTGGCTATTCCCTGTTTTCTGAAGCACATCTCTTCTGAGACTCTACAATTACGGTTTTCTGGCACTCTACTATCATAGTTTCCTCCCACCTTGCAGCTCTCTCCTTGCCAGATTCCTTTGTGGAAATTCTTAGAAAAGATCTGGATAAGTGATTCTCAAACTTGGTTGCATTTTGGTATCATCTGGAAAGTTAAACAGTTTTTTAAATGCTTTAGCCCAGGGACCATCCAAAGAGATTCTGTTTAGTTGTTCTGAGTTTAGAGCTGCATTTATTAAATTCCCTCCTGTTCTACTTTACAAACGTGGTCAAGAACCATTTTTGCAGGCTATGTTTATTCAGTCTTTCCTTTTCCTAGGTAACTTCATCTCTCCCTTTTGCTTCATTTACTATCATTATGCTAAACATTCTTTTTATTTTAACTCCAGCCTATATTCAGCTTTTGAGTTTTCCTACTATACTTGGCAAAATATCATCTTATTCCAAAACATTACTTGGATATCTCCAAGGTGTCTCAGTTTTGACATATTCAAACATGAGATCATAGACTTGCCATGCCTAGATGAAGATTCTCCTACTAGTCACTCTCTCAGCAAGTAGTATTTCCACCTCTCCAGTTCCATGAACTAGAATCTGCTTCTTAGTAGCAAATCCACTGCTATTATTGATTATTTTACCTCCTAAAATCACTCAAATCTGTTGACACGCTACCATTTTTCACAATGGCCCTGGTCACCACCATCACAGACTCATACTTCTTTTCTGTTACTGCAGATGCCTGCTAACTGGTCTTCTGACATTATTCTCTACCCCTGGCCTGAGGTGTCTTTCCATTCTGCACAGCAAGGATAGAGAGGTCATTTCCATCACTCCTAGGTAAAAACTCATTGTCTTCTTTCATGTAGCGGGGAAATTACCCTTTTAGAAAATCCATGTGTGTCAACATGAAGGAAACGAATAAATTTTTAAATAGAAATTATTCTTTAAGAGGAATAGACACTTAGTAACAGCAACCACTTATATAGTGCTTTCTATTTTCCAGGCACTTTTCTAAGCACGTTTCCATTATTAACTAATTTTATCTTCACATCAAGACTATGAGATACCTGCTATTACTGTAACTTCCAGTCAGTTATATCCTGGTAAATATTTTAGAACTATATTGGGATAGGGAGAAAAAACAGGTATGAGCCCTAATGTTCAGGGTCTGTTCATTGCTGTGGTGTAAGAGCTCCCACCATGACCTATATCAAGCTACTATCGTGATGTCTTGAACACACAGTTGAGAAGAAAAAGGCACAATTGGTTCTGCTGATCTGGTAGAACCTACTATCAGTCTACAAATGAGCAAGCTGGGGGCTAATGGCCATGAGGTGAGTCAAGCAAGTAGTATCTCTGATTGAAAACATAGTTCCTCATTTTGTCTGCCCACTTCTGTTGACTTGGTTGTGCTGCCTGAAAGTCAACCAAATAGATACAATATTTGGTTGATCCATAAGATCTTTTAAAATTCAGAAAATTCAAAATTCTTAATTTTAGCTAGACTGAGTGATGCAAATTTCAATTTACTAAGTATTGAGTGGATTGGGCACACTTGAGGAAAGTTTCCCTTTTCAGTGATTGGAGAGAAAACTCCATGAAAACCTTTAAAAAAAAGGTCATTAGGAGATGTGACAAGGTTCTAGAAGAGGATAGGGCACTAAACATAAAATAATTCTGCTACTGCACCCAAGAAAGAAAAGAAAACTTATTACATCTCTTTCTGTTTTTCCAATTCTTCCTTTCTTCTTACAAAGCTCACAACATTAAAGTACGAATTATTACGTTTAATACTATAGTTCTACTACTTATTATGTTTAATAAATGCCTATCTGCAAAACTAATTGTCCATTGTAACATTATTTTTTAAAGCAAATGCATCAGAAATTCCAACCAACCCAATTCCAAATAGGCTATGGTACAAAACCAACTTATATTACTTAATGATTTTCAGAAAAATTGGGGTTTCTGATTCTCCAAAGTATGTATTTTTAACATAAGTGATTTATATAATCACTATTCTTGTTACACAATAATAAACATGACGGCAATTTTGGCAAGAGTTCACAACATTTCAAGTGCATCAATAATTTTTCATTGTTATATATTTCATGAAGTACATTTAATATTCTCTTAAAACCTCCATTGAATATTTAAACCTTTGTTTATGTTGTCTTTATCTAGGTAATTTCTGATCCATTTAACAATATATGGTAAATGGAAAATTCTCAGTGATACTGCCTAATAACTTTACAAAAATATGCCACAAGCAACACTAAAAGTTTTTTCATAAATTATAAATAAATTTAACACCTTACAAAATAAGCTTTGAAAAACAATGAATTTTTTTTTTTTTTTGAGATGGAGTCTCACTCTGTTGCCCAGGCTGGAGTGCAGTGACAGGATCTCATCTCACTGCACCGTCCACCTTCCGGGTTCAAGCAATTCTCCTGTCTCAGCCTCCCAAGTAGCCGGGGCTACAGTTGCATGCCACCATGGCCAGCTAATTTTGTATTTTTAGTAAAGACGGGGTTTCACCATATTGGTCAGGCTAGTCTTGAACTCCTGACCTCAAGTGATCCACCTGCCTCGGCCTCCCAAAGTGCTGGGATTACAGGCGTGAGCCACTGAGCCTGGCCAAAAACACTGAAAATTTTAAGTTAGCTGGGGATATGTATTTACTCACAAGTTTGACTTCTCACTGGTTTTCTTCTGAGACACAGGAGAGTAGTCTAAAAAAGATGAAATTTGGTAATGGTCTCTTCCCATGTATATTTTGCTTTCTTTTAGACAAAACTAATTCTTTCATAACAACCCATTCACCAATTTGCAAATTTGATTTGTAAATATTCATCATATATTCGTGTATCACATATGGACACAATGGTTTACATTTTCTGTCTTTTCCCGCATTTTATTTTTTTAATATTTTCTGTGTCATCCCTGTTTTGTTGCTTTTACCTAAAATGTTTTACTTGTCTTCTACTTTACATATTTCTATGTATAAAATCTATTATTCTTTCAGGGACAACCTAAAGCCACATTTTGATGATTTTTTTTTCCTTTTGTCTTTGCAATTTTATTTGTTTCACATTTGTATGCTTACAACCCTTTAAATCCTATGTCTTTTTTTTTTTTTTTTTTTTTTTTGCAATGGTCTAAATATTTAGGTATATATTGTTTTTACTCCAAGTAGTGTAAATGTGCATTAACTTGAAAATCTCCCTACCTCTCTGGGCGCAGTGGCTCATGCCTGTAATCCCAGCATTTTGGGAGGCCGAGGCAGGCAGTCAGCTGAGGTCAGGAGTCTGAGGCCAGCCTGGCCAACATGGCAAAGCCCTGTCTCTACTAAAAATACAAAAATTAATCAGGTGTGGTAGTGCGTACCTGTAATCTCAATGACTCAGGAGGCTGAGGCAGGAGAATAGCTTGAACCCAGGAGGCGGAGGCTGCAGCGAGCCAAATCGTGCCACTGCACTCCACACTCTAGCCTGGGTGAGAGAGAGAGATTCCATTTCAAAATAAAAAACAAAAACCAAAAACCAAAAGCAAAAACCACTCCCTATTTTTACACTAGCTTTTAAAGAGGAGAAATTAAAATTGTATCTTCTTTATGCAGTGCAAAATGAAAATGATAATTTTTTCATCCTCTATACTTGCAATGAACGAAACATTATTCATCAAATGATATATTCCCTTGTGTCTGTTATTTGTTAACAAAATATATTTCTTATGTACCAAGTCTTTCATTTTCATGGTTTTTAGTATTGCTTAGATTCTTGTTAACTTTCATAAAAACTACTTTAGAAGTCTCATTTCCTTGTCTATATAATTTCTAAGACCAATAACAAGGCAAATATGAAATAGAGAAATGTAAACCATGTGAAATAAATGGTGACTTTAGGATGCTTTCACATCTGTGACTAAAGATTGCCGCTGCTGTCAGAAATCTATGTATTAAAGGATTGAGGAGGGTGTGTCTAAAGTTCTCCTCATAACTTCATTCTCCTACCTGGGTTTTCTTATACCCAAGACTTAAATAAAGTTATGTGTTTTTTAATCTGGCTAAGTATATCCATTCTCCAAACCTCATTGATCACTTCTATGTTTTTGTCTGTTAGAAATGTTTCTTTGGGCCTGGTGTGGTGGCTCACACGTGTAATCCCAGCACTTTGGGAGGCCGAGGCAGGTGGATCACCCGAGGTCAGGAATTTAAGACCAGCTTGGCCAACATGGTGAAACCCCATCTCTACTAAAAATACAAAAATTATCTGGGTATGTTGGCGGGTGCCTGTAATCCCAGCTACTTGGGAGGCTGAGGCAAGAGAATCACTTAAACCCAGGAGGTGGAGGTTGCAGTGAGTCAAGATCCCACCATTACACTCCAGACTGGGTGACAACAGTGAAACTCCTTCTCAAAAAAAAAAAAAAAAAAAAAAAAAAAAAAAGAAATGCTTCTTTGACTCTCACTTCTCTGCTTCTCTTTTGAGGATCCTCCATTTTCAACCACCACTTGTTCATCTCCACTCAAGCACGTTGAAAAGAGAAAGAGAGGAAAATATAAGAGGGACAAGGAGAAGGAAAAAATTAAAAATAAACATCTTTACTGTCAGATATTTTAGTTGTATTGATTTACCTAATTCTCCCAGAAGCACAGTATATTATTATGAATATGGCTATATAATTTATAAGCCAAACAGAGCCACTTTTGAGAGTAAAACAAATCAGTATGAGTAATTAATTTGGGGCCATAGGTATAAAATGGAATTATCTCTGGCACATGAGTATAGCTGATCACTCTATTTATTATCTCTGTTTGATTATGTAAAAGCTTTGCATCAGTGAGAGTTTATTCAGTTTAGTCAGGCCCCAGTGAGTAAATAGCAGAGCTGTGTTTCCCATCTGTACCTTTCCAAAACCCTAGGCCCTCTGTGCTTTACGAATCACTTTATAAGCTTAAAAATACTCACAGAGGCCAGGTATGGTGGCTCAAGCCTCTATTCCCAGCACTTTGGAAGCCTGAGGCGGGTGGATCACAAGGTCAGGAGTTCAAGACCAGCCTGGCCAAGATGGTTAAACCCTGTCTCTACTAAAAATACAAAAAAAATTAGCCGGGCATGATGGCGGGTGCCTGTAATCCCAGCTACTCGGGAGGCTGAGGCAGAGAATTGCTTGAACCTGGGAGGTGGAGGTTGCAGTGAGTCGAGATGGCACCACTGCACTCCAAGCCGGGGCGACAGAGAAAGACTCTGTCTCAAAAAAAGAAAACAAAAACAAAAACAAACAAAAAAAAACCAAGCAAACAAACAAAAAACAACATACAGTGAGACTTTAAAACAATGTCGTTTTAGCTTTGATTAGTGGAGCAGTGGATTGAAAGCCCCATAGTCACATATAGGGCTCCTACTCCTAGCTACTGGGACAATTCTGATGTTGGGAGCAGTAATCTATATTTTCATAAACATCAATACCATAGCTCTAATGTGCTATCCACTTACGTTCTGCTGTATCATACATGTAACTACAAAGTTTCTGGCCCCATCTCTCACTATCTCTTTTTCTTTCAGTTTCCTCTTCTAAAAATGTACAAATAGACGGAACCTACTCATACGGATTAAGGAAGTTAATATACAATTTTAATGGTGTCTTTACATAGCACAGGTGCAATATATGTGAGCTGCTTTTCTCTCTATAATGATCGCCCTATTCTCTAAAGAGAAGTGGCAAGTGTACCACCTGTGGAAATCAGGGAACTGGCTAATGCAGTTCCAGCAGCCAAATTCAGAAAAGCAGGCTAAGGACTTGTGAACTTGAGGACTTAGTAAATAAAGGAGAGGTATGGGGAGATCACAGCCAGAGGCCTAGATGTTTTGTTATTACTAAGTTGGCTAAGTTCTGTTTCTGTATCCATGTACTTGCCCTGATTCTCGGGGGATTGTCAAAAGAGACAATTTTCTCGTATTTTTGCAGGAAGGCCAAAAGGTGGGGATAGAAGAGCTTTCCAATTCAGGTTTTATGTTTTAATTTGTTTGCCTGTTTAGGAACTTACAGGTTTTATTCTGTCATAAGTAAAGTCTCATATTTGAGTTGTATGGTAGACTACATAACACTACATTATTCATGCCACTCTGCCAATATTTTAATTTCTAAAAAAGTCACTTAAAGTGAGCTGGAAAGTAGACAGATTAACATTAACAAATATTACAAGTATTAAATGGACCCATGGCCTTTAACATTATTTTTTATAACGTTGGTAAGATTAGGGGCAATATCTTTAATATCACTTCAATTTTAAGCATTATTTAATATCTTTCAGAAAAATAATTTAAAACTAAAGGTCAGATTTCTAAGGGACCTGTCAATATTTTTGCTCATATGCTAGGTTCTTCTGAGACTCTGCTAATGGCACCATGAAACAGCCATGTTGCAATCTTTGTCCTTTAGGACATGGTGAACAGAACTAAGTAAGTCAACAAAAATTTTCAGCACCACTTAAAAATGATTCATGCTCTCGTTAGCAAATGACAATGTGATATTAGTAATAATAGCCATGACAAATTATGTTTTAAATTTGCTAATTTTCTTTTTATATGCCTACATCAGCCTATATAGAGCCTAGTAAAACTCATGATCTCCTTATAGGAGAATCTGGAGCACAGTGTTTTTCACTGAGCTTGCATTCAAATTGTATTCATTTCCAATGTTAGCCTCAAAGCACATGTATGTGACATTGTTAAGCTATTTGGAAGACGTCTAAACAAGATATACCACTATATATGAGTGTCTGTTTGTTTAGTTAGTTTAAAATGAATAGATTTTAATATTTAGTCTTTACCCAAATATACCTGTAGGAATACAATTTTGCATGAATACAAAATATTCTCATGAGATACACAATTAACTTATTAACTTATTCATTCTATTTAATGAGTAATGGAAATGCTTATTATATATGAGACACATGATACATATCATATATATGATATATATTATATTAATATATATCATATAATATATATATTATCATATAATATATGATATATATTATAATAATATAAATCATATGATATATGATATATATCATATGATATATGATATAATATTAATATATATCATATAATATATGATATAATATTAATATATATCATATATTATATATAATATCATATTATGTAATATGATATATGATATAATATATATAATATCATATATTAATATATTATATATAATATATGATATAATATATAATATATAATATATAATATATATTATATGTTATATAACATATAATATATATTATATTATAAATATATATTATATATTATATAACATATAATATATATTATATTATAAATATATATTATATAACATATAATATATATTATATTATAAATATATATTATATAACATATAATATATATATTATAATATATATTATATGTTATATAACATATAATATATATTATATATTATATAACATATAATATATATTATATGTTATATAACATATAATATATATTATATGTTATATGTTATATAATATATATTATATATTATATAACATATAATATATATTATATATTATATAGTATAATTATATATAATTAATATCTATTAATATATTATGTAATATACATTATTATATATTATTAATTACATATATTATTAATATATGATATATATTATTATATATCATATATTATATATCATATGTAATATATAATATATGGCATATGTGATATGTCATATATTATATGTAATATATTATATAATCTATGGCATATATTATATGTAATATATACCAAACATTAATATATGATATATGATATAGAATATATGTATATCATGTATCTCATATATATGCATACAAATGATTCAAGGAATCAGCACTTGCTGGCTCACCACAGTAAACCAGTGATCTTCAGGTTTGCTCTGTAGACTACCTGTATCAGAATCTACCACAAAACTTATCTAAAATTTAGATTTCTTAGGTCCAAGCTATGTCAGTTGAAACAGAACTTCCCTCACTGGGGATATGGGATCCCAAGGGATTCTTCAGGCAAATATAATTTGAGAGCCACTGTAAGATCTACTGGAGAATAGGGTCTATGTTCTCATTGCCATGCTTTACCTTCAGCATGTATTCATTTTTACTTTTATTGAAGCAGACAAAGGAGCTTTTTGGTAATTAAATTAGATGTGTTTATTCTACTTAGAAAAAAGCTGGTTTTATAATGTATCTTTGCTTATTTTTCAAAAACAGGGACAGTGTCATCAAATGTGATGACTCTATTTCTATTACTCATGCCTAAAATTGTTATGAGACTCAGCTAGTACCTGAATACAAGGTCATAGCTTTTTGTTTAACATTTTTAAATGCTTAGATTTGCAGTTTTATTTTTTATGCCCTTTAAATGTTTCCACCGAAGTGAGAGGATACGCATGCACATAACACACAATTCATATAACATATATATCTCATATATATGAATACACATAAACACACACAACATCAAAGTTCTATTTGTCTATTTCTGTCTTACTCATATCTTTGGGAAGTATTGACCAAAAGGGTAATATATTCATGTACAGTATCTAAATAATCTAGATTAAAAATATTAGTAATGTCCCAAATACTACTTTTGAAAGTTACATTCTCTTCCTACATGGGAGATATTTAGAAGAAAAGCATGGCCCTAAAAACAGCAGATTAGGTAAATTTGTTATCAAAGAATGCTAGCAAAGTGTTAACTGTTGGAAATTACTTAAACATTAGTAGAAATAGAATTGTGAGAACTAAACTGTATACTAAAATTGATGCTGAACAAGCACCAGTACTACACTTTAGAAACGAACGTATATTTGTATAATTGAAACATTAACATATCATGAACTTTGTGTATTACTATTTAAAACCTCCACCTGCTTTCGATTAAGGAAAACCTTACCATGCATTTTGTAGTCAAAACTTCTTTATTAAATTATATGTTAGATAATTATACATTAACCTTGCTGATCAAATTGGCCCACACCATCCCTTCAACCTCAATTATTTGAATAAGCTGAAGTAGTTATCCTCATTTAATAGTTGTAGATTTCACATAAGAGCCATTATTTTAGCCATACTTCCTTGGTATTTGCTTTCACAGTACTTGCTACCATCTTTTTATTTTCCATCTATTTACTTAAGAGAGCATACTGGAGATAGTGATAAGAGTGGCAATTCACCTTTGTTTCACCCTCTGGGGAATCATTTATGTGTATGCTGGGGGTGTTATCAGTTGTTTGCACTTGTTGTGCAGGCAGGCAATAGACTCTTAACCAGACTTTCCAGGAAATGTGGGAGGTGAGAGAGGCATATAATTTACTCACAACAATAACAAAGTCAGCAGTACATTGTGGGTAGCAGATTGCCTTCTCTGGACTCAAATAACAGGAAATATTTTATCCTAGAATATGATTTCATGACTTTGAGACTATATGAATATACCTATATATATACACACACACATACACTTAGCTTTATAACAATTTATAAAGAATTATGAATGCTCAGACTGTATATATATGTTACGTATGTGTGTGTATATATATATATATGTATACACATATATATACACAAATGAATTTACATCACAGAACACTTGTTTTTAGCAGGCAATCTCAGATATTAAGACAGTCAAACATTAAGTACCTGACAAAGTGTAAAGGTGTGTTTTTATATGGTAAAATGTAACTGTCAAAATTCAATTAGCTTTTCACTATTTATGCAAAATGACTTATTATATGGTTTTATCAAGAAAACTTAAGCCTAGTAGCTTACCATTTTCCAAGTTTAAGAATGCCAAATAGTAAACAAAGAAATACACTTTGTGGCCACATCAAGATGTAGCTGAATTCATGTTTATTCTAAGAAAATATTTATAAGTTACATATTTTAAAAAACATTTCTTTAAAAAAAAGACCTATGGTAGATTTCAAGATCATAAAACAACCAATCTAAGCCTGGCTGCCAAAAACATTAATGACAGGATGAAAAGAGAAAATACATTTTACTTAAACATATCAATAGTTTTAACTGAATAAATGTATAGTTATTGGCATATTATCTTTAATAATTCAATAATTAACTTGGACATCTTGTAGTCCTTCTATGTCATAAATCTACAGGAGAAGAAAAAACATATAGCATATAGACATATATATGTGTACATATATACACGTACATACATATATATGTTGTTTTTAATCTGACAGCTGACGTAAACAAAGACAAAATATTGTTCACTGTTCTGTAAACATTCTGGCTGATGCTTTTACTACTTCAATTTTATTTTGATTTTTTATGTTAATTTCAGAATAATAAGAATTTTTATATCTTCAGGTGTTAACAAGTTAAAAAACTATGATATAATACAACTATGTTTTATTCTGCAATTATTGTGTAAATGATGTTTTACTGACTTGTAACAGAATCAAAAATAATATAGCTCTTAATAGAAACCGTCAATATAAACACGTTTGTAGATATTTAATCAAAACAGAGAATTGCTTTAAAATGTTGTTGTATTTATGAGTAAGAAATTTTCTTAGAACGATTATTGACGTACTATTTTCTATGTTCAAATCTGTTTACCATACAATTATCTTATCTATTATTATATTGAAATAGAAAGGAAAACACACACACACACACACACACACACACACACACACTCCTTCACATTTTCTATAATGGAAAACTCTCTTTTCATCAAATATTGTATACAGAGTACTTTATTTTACTTAATTTGTTTTCCTATTTCTTACAAAATTATTATACAGAAAAAGCGACCAACTGGGAAAACTATGAATATTTTGCCAAATGTTAATTAACGGCATCACTTAATTGATTTAATCTTATAATGTATAATTTAGATCAGCTTGTTAGATGGTTTTGTCCTTTAAAATTCATATATTGGAATCCATCAGCACTTTTCTGTAGCTTATTTTAACAGATGGAAATCCTCTACAGATATCCTTGATTGTAGTAGATGGAAGCTATTTAATTCTACGGAAAACATTTTGTAAAGAAACTATTTTGTCTTTATATAACTTCAGTTACCGCTCTTTTAATATGGCATGTATCATTTCTATTTCTGAAACAATATTACTACCTTTATTTGAAGACCGTTTTCTGGGTTATCTGTAGGATCTTTTGGGGGAAAACACAGGCATTGAAAGCAAATTACCATTAAAGAGGGAGAGTGCTAAGAAGTTAGGGTTCTTGGACAAGTTATCTATTCAACCATTCTTAATAATATAGCCTTGCTCCTTTATTTTCAAAAGTGAGAAAATGCTATACTGCCATAATGAGAGTTAAATGGGAATATATATGCAACTCACTTTCTGTAGTGCATGACACACAGTGATTTATTAGTCTAGATCCTCATCACATCATCATATCAAATTGGCAGTGATATCTGGTATGTGATATCTCAGAAACTATATATTTTACAACAACAATAAAATAGCAAACTATACATGCATGATACAAATGCCTATGCCATTTACATTTTTTTCCATCTCAAATTAAGAGGTCACATACACAAAGCCAAAATGCTTTACAATTAGTAAATTTTAAGAACTTAATTTGTGTAGCTTAAGCAATGAGAAGAGTATCTCATAAAGTTCATCTGGAGAAAGGTTTTTTTTTTTTTTTTAGCATAAGTGCTTAAGAGTCACGAACAAATATAGTTAGTTGTGGGAAATTCTTTCTTATGTATGTATGGAATAGATTTTGTTGACTTCCACATTGAAAAGGATACTATTTCAGTTTGTAATTCTATATCACACTTGACGGTTAATTGTGCCACATGAGAAATATTCCTGCAAAAAGAGCATTGGCTTTTAAAGAATTGGCTTTTCTCTTTATAAATGTTTTGTTCTGTTTTTTCCTCTAAAGGATGTAATTCAAAATGACAGTGTAGTAAAAAGGTCTTAATACAAAAACATGTAAAATTTCAGGGAGATGAATTTTTTATTCATTCAAAATGTGAAAACCTCTTCTTTCTCCTGGTTCAAAAATATCCCCCACCCGTTATAGTTTCAGACAATAGTCCAAGTGTTCATGTAATACAAGCAGAAAATAATTTGATCACAGTGATCTCCTTGATAGATTTCTTCTGTCCTCTCATTTTCCTGTTTATGAGTGGTGACAACATACGCCGTGATTTTTTTGCAGATGTGCTCTAAGATTGTAGAGTGACAGATAAAGGAAACTAATAACTTTTATTTTAATATGACGTTAAACTGGAAGGAATTTGAACTTCAGATTTTTTGTTAAGTCAGTTAATTTTGTTGATCTTCAGCAAGTTATTATTCTTTATAGGCCTCAGTTTCTTAACAGTAATATGTGGAAAATAGTGATCTTAGAGTATTGATGTGAAAAGGAAATCAAGATAGTAATGATAAAGTTCTTGACACATATGTAAATGCTTTAAAAGTTCCAGTGCTGGCCAGGCATGGTGGCCCATGCCTGTAATCCCAGCACTTTGGGAGGCCAAGGCAGGTGGATCACCTGAGGTCAGGAGTTTGAGACCAGCCTGACCAACGTGGTGAAACCCCGTCTCTAATAAAAATTAAAAAATTAGCTGGGTGTAGTGGCAGACGCCTGTAATCCCAGCTACTTGGGAGGCTGAGACAGGAGAATTGCTGGAACCTGGGAGGCGGAGGTGGCAGTGAGCCGAGATCATGCCATTGCACTCCAGCCTGGGCCACAGAGTGAGATTCCATCTCAAAAAAACAAAAACAAAACAAAAAAAAGTTCCAATGCCCTTATCCTCTACATTTTTTGCAAGTACATCTCAGAGACTTTCCCTTAGACCTGTAGATTCAACCTTGAATAAATGCCAAGCAGGACTACTACTTTATTCAGATACTCTTTTCATTTGTTAAGATCCGAAAATGACCATCTTGTTTCAGTGGGAGTAAAGCACGCCATCTTGGTTTCCTAAGCATACTCTAGCTTCTTTGCCATTGAGCCATTGTCATCATGCCCCTTTGCCCAGGCTATTTGTCAGGGTCTCAAGTCCAACTTCTACAAACCAGCCTTCATCCATACCCACATGGATTGCATTCTTCCACTTGCTGTAACTTTGTATCCCTGATATAGGAATCCTCACTATCACCCATGTGAATGAGGATATTGACATTACCTAATAATACACTGGCTATTTCCTACACTCTAGATTGAACATATTTCATATGCACAAAACCCAAAACAGCGCCCAATTTCACAATGCCACTTTTTATGTACAAGCAGTCTCCCAATCTGTCCTCCTCAACTAGCTATTACAGCTTGCCACACTTAAGTGGTTAAAAAAATAAAAATTCAGTGTTTTTAGTGTCGAGATCATATTAGTCACACCATATATTAGAGAAACAAATGCATTATTTCTTTCTCCTTTTATATCTCTTTTTTCCTGTTTTCCTTAATAACAAAATAAGGAAAAGTATTGCTTTAAGACTCTCTGTGTTATTAATCATAGCATATTATATAGTAGCCATTTGTCAGATACATTTATATGCAAAAGTAGAATTACTTTTTCTTTAATTAATTATTTTAATTGACAAACAGAAATTGTTCACCTTTAATATATACAACATGTTTTTAAATGTGTATACTTATTGGGAGTGGGATGGCTCAGTCAAGCCAATTAACATATCCATTAAAGTGTAATTATTTCTAATTGCCACTCAAAGCATTTGGCCTTTAGACATTTGGTCACTAAACTAAAACATTTCCATCAGTAAAATATAGGTTTATGATTTTAAGAAAAAAAATGACAAAGTAGTAAAATATGGAAAAACTTACATATAGCCAAAGGAATAAATAAAATGTTCATTTAGCTAAATATCTTCAATATTATATATTTTAGTAGATGAACTCGTAAACTCTCCTGGAGTGGAAAGAGAAAAAACTGTGTTTTTTTGACTGTTTATGCAAATGACTGCCTAGTGACTTAATTAAGATCCTTATACAACCAGTGACAGAAACATGCAGCTTCTGTATTCTAAGTCCTGGGGACACTGAAATGATCCTTGAAAATGCACCAGGAATAAAACAGGTAGTGATTGGTGTTAGATGTAATACTGCAACAGAAAACTAAATGTAACACAAGTGAGAACTCATTTTCAACAAGAAACACAGAGTTATAGAGAAGACATAGGTGTGAATTACTCTATTATCATAGAAACTATAGCAATTTTCATCTATTACAAAACTAAAATGAAATAACTAGTCAGAACTAAAGTAATGTAAATAGCATCAATATCATCTGATACATGAAAATATTTGGAAATGATTCAACACATATAATCACCAAAAAGAAGGCACAGAATTCTAATGTTAATTATATGACATAGCATCTAATATGGTGGGAAATGTGTCAAAACTATGAGGCTCCATATTACATTAGATTTGGGACATTTATATTACTTTCTCAGTTAATAAAATATTAGGGTAAGATCCCAACTTATTTTGAATATGTTACTTTAATAAAAATTGATAGCATAAGACCAATACTTCAACTATTGGCTCACTATTTTTTACTAAAGTAACCCTAGGCATGAATCTCATCAAAATGTTCAACCCTGAAGATTTGTAATTTTTTTTTTTTTAGATTCAATACCATCCCCATCAAGCTACCAATGACTTTCTTCACAGAATTGGAAAAAACTACTTTAAAGTTCATATGGAACCAAAAAAGAGCCCGCATCGCCAAGCCAATCCTAAGCCAAAAGAACAAAGCTGGAGGCATCACACTACCTGACTTCAAACTATACTACAAGGCTACAGTAACCAAAACAGCATGGTACTGGTACCAAAACAGAGATATAGATCAATGGAACAGAACAGAGCCCTCAGAAATAACGCCGCATATCTACAACTATCTGATCTTTGACAAACCTGAGAAAAACAAGCAATTGGGGAAAGGATTCCCTATTTAATAAATGGTGCTGGGAAAACTGGCTAGCCATATATAAAAAGCTGAAACTGGATCCCTTCCTTACACCTTACACAAAAACCAATTCAAGATGGATTAAAGACTTAAACGTTAGACCTAAAACCATAAAAACCCTAGAAGAAAACCTAGGCATTACCATTCAGGACATAGGCATGGGTAAGGACTTCATGTCTAAAACACCAAAAGCAATGGCAACAAAAGCCAAAATTGACAAATGGGATCTAATTAAACTAAAGAGCTTCTGCACAGCAAAAGAAACTACCATCAGAGTGAACAGGCAACCCACAAAATGGGAGAAAATTTTCGCAAGCTACTCATCTGACAAAGGGCTAATATCCAGAATCTACGATGAACTCAAACAAATTTACAAGAAAAAAACAAACAACCCCATCAAAAAGTGGGCAAAGGATATGAACAGACACTTCTCAAAAGAAGACATTTATGCAGCCAAAAAACACATGAAAAAATGCTCACCATCACTGGCCATCAGAGAAATGCAAATCAAAACCACAATGAGATATCGTCTCACACCAGTTAGAATGGCAATCATTAAAAAGTCAGGAAACAACAGGTGCTGGAGAGGATGTGGAGAAATAGGAACACTTTTACACTGTTGGTGGGACTGTAAACTAGTTCGACCATTGTGGAAGTCAGTGTGGCGATTCCTCAGGGATCTAGAACTAGAAATACCATTTGACCCAGCCATCCCATTACTGGGTATATACCCAAAGGACTATAAATCATGCTGCTATAAAGACACATGCACACGTATGTTTATTGCGGCACTATTCACAATAGCAAAGACTTGGAACCAACCCAAATGTCCAACAATGATAGACTGGATTAAGAAAATGTGGCACATACACACCATGGAATACTATGCAGCCATAAAAAATGATGAGTTCATGTCCTTTGTCGGGACATGGATGAAACTGGAAATCATCATTCTCAGTAAACTATCGCAAGAACAAAAAACCAAACACCACATATTCTCACTCATAGGTGGGAATTGAACAATGAGAACATATGGACACAGGAAGGGGAACATCACACTCTGGGGACTGTTGTGGGGTGGGGGGAGGGGGGAGGGATAGCATTGGGAGATATACCTAATGCTGGATGACGAGTTAGTGGGTGCAGCGCACCAGCATGGCACATGTATACATATGTAACTAACCTGCACATTCTGCACATGTACCCTAAAACTTAAAGTATAAAAAAAAAAAAAGATTTGTAATTTTTAATCCATTAGCTTCTGCTTCCTAAAGACTAAGTGTCTGGAAAATGATTGTCATTCCCATAGCATTCAATGACACCATTAAATTTTTTTAAACCGCAATAATTTAGGCTTAACAGGAAAGGTGACATACTTTTGGGGAATCGAGGTGGATTGTCATTGACATCGGTGAGAGTGATGTTGACTATTGTTGTTCCGGCTAATCCTCCAAGCTGTCCTCCCATATCCTTGGCTTGGATGAGTACTTGATATTGTTCTTTGACTTCTCTGTCCATGTTTGGCAAAGCTGTTCTAATAACACCTTAAGGGATAAAAGCAATAATGTAAAATAAATATCACAAATGCTCTGTTTTCTGAAATAAAATAAAATGCAACAACAACATGATTCTACCTAGAATCACTAACAGAGACATAATAGCTAAAATTGTATCTTTTAAAAAGTGAGACATTCAAAATGTCCAATGGTTAGGACATAATTTAAAATATTATAGTAGCTACACAACAAAATGCCATGCCACAATGAGAAATATGGTTAAAGAACAATGTATCACCTCTAAGAGGTAGTCATCATTCATAAGTAAGCCAAGTTAGACATGATTTATATGCACGATCCTATCTTTAAAAAGAAGAAATCATTAAAAATTAGAGGTAAAATATAAATACAAAAAATGCGAAGTGGTTGAAATGAGTATGCAATTTCCAATTATTACTACTTTCTTCTTTGTTTTTCTGTTTATTTTCTAGAGTAAAAATACTAATTTCTTTTCTAAAAATGCATTCAATATCTTCATTACATATTTTATTTTGTCTTTCAGAATTCCCGTTAGTTATTTTAGCAACAGATATTTCACTAAGTTTCTCCAGCAGCCAGGACAGTGCCATTTACAAGGAACACAATGAGTGTATGCAAACCAATTAACCGAATGAGTGACTGGCTGAGTGAATAAATCTCTAAATAATTAAATTTATAAGTGTGAACTTTACAGTACATGTACATATTTACATATTGTCCTCATTTCCTGCCCTGGTGTCCAAGTGTAAAAATAGTTTATATTCCTATTTATTCATAGTAAAAGAACCAAAACCTCCTGGATTATTCTCAAATGAAATCATGAATACATTTCATACCAAATTCCAATCTTTAGTCAATGGCTTTAGGGAGAGATTGGACAGCATTTGTTTTAAACACAGCTGGCTTTAATAGTGTTGTTTCTTCCTTTAAGAAACATGCTACTTTCTTTAAGTAGCATATATAAATAACAAATATAATATCAACAAAAATAAATCAACCATCAACAAACATATAGAATCCAAATCATAAACCCAACATACATCCTTGTTTTATCTGTACTTTCTACTCTCTACTTAACAAACACTGATTTAAATTTGACAATCTGAGATTTCTTCTGACTCTTGGCAGGAAATTGTTGCAAAAAAAAGACAGCCTTCATTTATGCTGCTGCTACTTTATTTATCAATTTGTACTGACACTTTTTTTTTTTTTGAGGCAGAGTTTCTCTCTTGTTGCCCAGGCTGGAGTGCAATGGTGCAATCTGGGCTCACTGCAATCTCCGCCTCCCGGGTTCAAGTGATTCTCCTGCATCAGCCTCCGGAGTAGCTGGGATTACAGGCATGCGCCACCATGCCTGGCTTATTTTGTATTTTAGTAGAGATGGGGTGACACCTTTTTAATCCAATGTGTTTGTCCTTTCTTCAGCTCAGGCTCCTGAAGCTTCATTTCCAAGTCTCTTTACTAAGATTCTTCATCTCTACCGATGAGTGTTCTGGTTCTACATACCTTAAGTTATGTGACTTCTGCCTGACATACAATGCTTATGTTTTCTAGATAGATGCCTGGGTTTGATTCATATGCATTATGTCTTGTCCTGTTGTTGACCGAGTCTATCTTAATTCATTTTCAATAAGAAAATTATGTATAACTTTCTTAATTCATTTCCAGCATAAAAATTTCCAACATGAAAATTATTTCTATCACTATCCAACAGTCTATTTCTATATCTATATATCTATCTGGACTGAGAGACAGAATTGTGGAGTTGTTCCTTTCTGGTTATTTGCTGACCTAAATAAAAAGCTATAAACTGGGATCCAGTTAGATTAAAACATTAAGATGCAAAGATCGTCTTTTCCCAAGATGATGCAATCATTTTTTGCTTAATTGTTGAGAAATTCATAAAAATGGGGTACTATGAAAAGAATAACTTCTTGAAAAAGTTCTTCTCCCACCTTAAAATAAATTGCAATGTTTAAAGATTCTCATGTTAAATTTGGAGTTTGGCTTAGTACCCAGATTTCAACTCCAAAAAAAAAACATACACATAACTACATTATTTTTCCTCTGGAACAGCGGTACTTAAATGGAAGTGGTGCTGGGGCAGGGGAAGCACACCCTGGTCATCACTAGAAATTGACTTTCAAACTACATATACAATCCTTTCCTCTGTCTAAGTTCTACATACTATCCAGTTGGTAGCATTACACTAACAGCAGGGCTAGAAGCAGCAGAGACATCACTCATCAGAAACAGGGTAGAGCAGGAGGGCAGGGCTGTGAGTGTGATGGAAAAGGTCTTGACAATTTTTATGAATCACTGGAAAAAATACACATCTACTCTTAACTCTGATAATACCTATTTTGTCTCTGTTCAATTGCATCTTAATGTTTTAATCTAACTGGATCCCAGTGGATAGCTTTTTATATAGGTTGGCAAATAACCAGAAAAAAACAATTCCACAACTCTCTCTGTCCAGATAAATAGACAGATAGCTATAGAAATAGATAGATGGATAGTGATATAGTGATAGACCTTCTGCTAGCATCTATTTGGTGACAGTCACAAATGCAACTACAATTTCGAAGACTATCTTCAATAATTCCAAACTCTTTTCAAATGTCCTGCTGTATCTTAATAGAAGTTAATTCTTATTATTACCTGAGACTACTGAGGTAGGTAGATAGATAGATAGATAGATAGATAGATAGATAGATTAGATTAGATGAGATTGATATGCTTTTTACATTCATTTTCAGGAGCATAGCAGCAACTGTATGAATAACGGAAAGCTTGACTTATCTAAGGTATAGGTGACAGAAGGAATGTCAGGATTGATAACTTGAATCCTAGTCTAGGATCCATCATACCATTTCACATGAATAAATATATGTAAAGATAGTGTTTATTCAAAGAAATGACAAGTTGGTAGGGGATCATTTGAATAATGCAATTCACAGAATTGTTATGTTACCTAGCCCCTATAAATAGAGTAAGAATTGTGAGACTCCAACAAGAAATGCCTTCATTCCAGTCATCCACTCCTAATGGTCAAAGCTTGTGAGAAGAAGCCATGTGAAGTGCACACATTTGAGTGCTTAGGCTCCAGCTATTCCAACCATTCCATGTCCACTGAGTCCCTAACCTTCTCCAAACTTCTTGTCCTCATTCTCTCAGTTCCCCCATGAATGCCTGCCCAGTTAGTGGACATCTTTCTGGTTTCTTCCACTTTAGTCTTTTTTTTTTTTTTTTTCATGAAGCCTTTTCTGACCCACAGCATGGCTTCAGGAAGAAATGACTATACCCTCCCTAGGATTCAGTCATAGCATGTAGAATGTTTTGTTGCATGTTTTGATTTGTTGCCTGTTTACCTTTCTTTAGCAGACAGAAAGCCACTTTAGGACAGAGAGAAGTTCTTTTATTTTCTTTTCTAATTCTGGCATCTAGTTAATGTCTGGCTCAGAGTGATAAAGGAGATAGAAAGAAATTACTTAGGCAGATAGTAAGAGTAAAAGAGTCCTTGGTAAAATTTCCCTTTTAATAAAAAGCAGCGCCAAATTATTTCTTTTCCAGCAAAGAGCAGACTGAAAAATTGAGCTGCAGACATAGATAAGCAAGCTGGAAGCTTGCTCGGGGGAATGCCAGCAGCTGTGCGGAGAGAAAAGGGCTACCTAGGAGCCAGGCATGTTCAACATGGAGGCTCTGTCTTCCCTTTTCTTTGTCACCACATGTACAGTAAAGAACTAGGCAACGTGGCACTAGCCAGGTAGAGAACCCATCTGCATAACAAAAGATTAGGGTGGTATGGCCAGATTTTCACAAACTGTGCAAATGGCACACCTAGCCCTAACCAGTTTTTCGCACCTTATGCAAACAGTACACCTGGTCTGACCAATCTTTTGTGCCCTGTGTAAATCAGACATCACCTCCTCAAGCTTATCTATAAAACCTGCTGCATTTCACTGCAGAAGCAGAAACCCATTCGGGTGCCCTCTCTCTGCAGGAGAGCCTTTCTCTTTCTTTTGCCTATTAAACCTCCGTTCTTAACCTCACTCCCTGTGTGTCTGCATCCTTGATTTCCTCAGCATGGGAAAAGGAACCTTGGGGTTCATTATCCCAGACAATGACGCCACTTCAAGAGTATGTCTGTTTTTCTGTTTCCCTGTTCTTAATACAGCTATGTTACTTTTCCACCTATATGTACCATAATTTTTTAGTTCACTGTAAATTTATTATTTTGTGATATCTTTTCTTTTTTATTCTACTCTCTGTGAATCTTAATCAAAAAATAGATTTTATTCTCATTTTTTTCTTGTACTTTCTCCCCATCTTCTACATATGCCCTGAAGAATCTATTTCATTGATTTCTTTTACCCTATAGCTACTTATTTTGCAAAAGAAGAAGTTTGTTTTCTTGAAAAAAGTTATTGTCTGTTTTCAACTTATCCCTCTTTTACTTTGGAGCTAAATACCTGGGGAGGCAAGTCCAGGCTTTATCTTAATCATTCTGAATAATGTCATAAAAGAAGAAAATGGTTTTTTGTAGACAGCATATGACAAAAAAATTTTTTGCTCTTCTCCAAATTCTAGAGATTTAGACCAGCACTATATGAACTCACGGGACTGGCAGATGAACAATGGGTAAATGGCTTTATTCTCCACCCAATGAGGTTTATAGTTCAAAGGAGACTTAGACCACCAGTCTGCTCTCCATAGAGCAGCCATGATGGTGAGGTTGGAGCGTAAGCCAGGTCACAGAGCTCCTCCACTCTGAAGTCATCACAGAGTGTCCACACCTTTCAGAATAAAGCCCTCACATAATCTTCACCTTCCTGCTGAACTCTGATCTTCTTTTCTACAACTCCCTCCCTCATTCACTGCAGCCTTGCACACTGTCTTCCCCAGCCAGAAATGTTCTTTCCAAGGGATGCTTATTTGTAGTTCTTCCACTTCCTTTAGATCTTTTTTAAAAGTCATCTTCATAGGACTGTGTTAGCCATTCTATCCAAAATTTCTTTCTAAATTAATTTCTGATTGCTTCTGTAACAAATTACCACAAACCTACTGGCCTAAAACAACATAAACTTACTATCTTACAATTCTGGATGTAAGGAGGCCAACAAGGGGCAGGGCATGGGTAGAGCTGTGATTTTTTTCTAAATGCTGTTCATCCAGACAATGGCAGCACTCCCTGGCTCCTGACCTCCTTCTTCCTTCCTCTAAGGCAGTAGCAGATTAGCGTTTTCATATCTTTTTCTGACTCTGACCCTTCTGCTTCCTTCTTCTGCATACAAGAACCCTTGTGATTACACGGAGTCTACCCATATAATAAGAATAATCACCTCATCTCCACTATATGTGATTAGAACCTTAATTCTTCTTTGCCATGTAATATAACATATTCACAGGTCCTGGGGTTTAGGACATGGACATACTTGGGCAATCACTGTTCTGTCTAGCATACATACTCTTCCTTAATATTTCATATTTCTTTCTCTAACATTCTCTCCTTAGTCTTTAAGCTATTGAAAACACTATATATTTCCCGTATTTATTCTGTTTGTTTTATGTTTCCTCAAATTGAATGTATGTTGCTGAAGGCAGGGACTTTTGTCTTTACTTTCTTCTTCCCTGGAAAATGGCTAGCTAGAAGAATACCAGGCATATAGTAGGCACTCAATAAATATTAGTAAAATAAATAAAGTAGTGCATAATGCTAGCTGAGGTAACACATGGCAAATAAGTGTTTATCCTTCAGGAGAGATTATGATGTAACATAGTTCTTGTAATCTTCATCATTATTGACCCAAATACTCATGATGTAATTTTGAAGAAGGTGGGGTTATTAGTATTTACCTAGGGGTATTATAGCTATTGTATCATGAAAATGTTTTTGATTAGACCTGAAAGAGATCTCTCCTAGTTAAACATAGACTCCAGTGTGAACCAAGTCATTGTTAATTGTTTTTAATAAAGATTTGGAGGAAACATTAAAAACAGTATTTTAATGCACAAATATGTTAGAGATAGCTAATAAGGTGAAGGATAAAAAAGAGTAATGATAGTACTCAAAACGTAACTTCAGCAGTGAGAATATAAGTTTCTGTTTTCAATTCCATAGCTCAGTTACATTACAGTTATGAGAGAGCAGATTTTGCATTATTTTATGTGCAAAGTTACTGAGTTTCATTTCATTTTAGTGTTAAATTAGCCTAAAATGTAAAATGGATTTTTTAAAAATACTAGTACATTCTTGAATAATATTTATTCAAATGTTATGTTCATCATTGCATTTGTATATGATTTTTTAAATTTTTTGCTAATGTGTTTGAAAGACAAGAAGAGTTATCAGGTTATCTTCAGTAAGAAATTTAGGGGCCATATTGTCCAACTTCTTAACTGTATCATGTCTTAACTCTCCTATAGGACTTATGAGCCACTTCCTCCAGGAGTTCTTTCTTCCAGAAGCTCTCATCCCTTCAATCAGTCTAGTGTCCCATAGTAGCATCAGAGGATTATATACCAGAAAACTCACATATAATCTTCTGAAGACCTGATGAGCTCCCCCTACTAGATAGGGATCTACTTGATGATCTACTTGATTCATCTTAGTCTCCCAATAGCAAAGGACCTGTCAGGTCGTATGTTATAGATACATGTGCATCAAATGACATAATCAAATCCAACACCACCAGTTCATTACTCATCATCTGCTTTAACCCATCCAGTAATGTGAAACTCACAATCTAATGAGTTATCATTCTTATATATGGTATTATTCTTATCTTTTTTCTACATATGTATATATATGAAACCAGAATTCTTTCTTCCTGTAACTCACACTATGTATTGATAGCTCTTTTCCTCTCAAGCAGCACAGAATACATCTAGTTCCTCTTCTACATGACAGCTCTACAACTTGCTAAAGGCATATATCACATCCCTCCGGAATATTTTCCTTTCAAGCCCAAACATCCTTAGTTATTTTTGCTGATGTGTTCATCTCATGATTTCTAAAATAAAGCAAATGGAACTCACCCAGAATCTACCTGAAGTCTGACAATGCAGAATACAAGAAAATGATTGCCTGCAGTGCATTCCTGGGCATGGAATTTACTACACGATCATAATATTACAAAATAGGTAATAATATGTGCTGTTTTATCTTAATAATTATTTATTTCCTTGACACAGTTTTCTTTCCTTATATTTATTAGCGTCTATTGATTTCCTTGCCTTTGCTATCCCATAATCAATTCTTGCCTTAATGCTTCCTGGCAACTTATTTATTCTGGCAAAAAGTATTAAAAGAGTGACTTCATTGTGTTGGAAAAGACTCTTTTATTTTGCCCTTAAAGAAAGAAGATATAATTTATTTCACCAGTACCAACTGAGGTGTCTTACTCAGTTCTACAGATTTTATTCTGAATTAATATCAAAAGAATGCTCTATCCCCATGTGACCCAGCAATCCCTTTTCTGGGTCTATACCCAAAGGAAATGAAATTATCGCCTCATAAAGACATGTGCACTTTCATGTTTATTGCAACATTATTCCCAATAGTCAATATATGAAAACAAAGTAGTTGTTCATCAGTGGGCAAACAGAATAAGAAACTGTGGTATACACATATAATGGAATACTATTCAACCTTAAAAAAGGAGATCCTGCCATTTGCTACAACATGGATAGGCCTGGGGGACAGTGTTCTAAGTGAAATAAGCCAGGCATATAAATAAAAATATTGTGTGATCTTATTTATATGTGGAATCTAAAAAAAGAGGTAACACATGTAAAGAATAAAAGAAAGATTATAAGGGTCAGGGTATGGGAGAGAAAATGGGGAGATGTAGGTCAAAGGATACAAAATAGCAAAAATACAAGATAAACAAGTTAAAAGATCTAATATACAACATGAGGACTAGAGTTAATAATAGTGTATTGTACTTTGGATTTTTGCTAAACGAGTAGATTATAACTTTCTTTGCCATGAGGAGGAGCCAGGGGTAGTTGGGGGAGAATGAATAAGTAAGATGATGGGTATGTTAATTTGTTCTACTATAGAAACCATTTATATGTGTGTGTGTATCTCTTATGACAGCATGTTATATATGTGATATACAAAATAAATTTTTAAAATAATGTTCAAGTCATAAGCCTAAGTATGTCTATAGTATCATAAAGTGTTAGCTCAAAATATAGAGTTATTGGCCCAAGCTTTAATTTTAATATGAAGCTTTTATAACACCAACATATTTTAGAAGACATACAAGAATAATATCGGTCAAGCTATAGGAGGAGGTTTCGTTGGGAGATAGGCTTGAAGATAATTATCTCTGAATGAAAGGTCGATAGACTCAAGAGCAAAAGTCTTGGGAAAGTATCAGTCATGTGGGCAAACTTTATCATGTTTCCTTAAGCAGAATTTAGAACAGGATCACACAGCAAGAAATATCAGAACAGGAAATAAAAAACTTTTAAAGTATCTCATGCAACTCTATTCTCACTCAATTGTTTTTTTTAATATGAATTCTATAAATACATGTAGAAACATGTAAAATAAACATTTATAAAGGACGTATTTTTCACAATGCATGTAAATTAAGAGATACGGAGAGAAATGTTTTGGCTAGATGGTGTAATGGTTTGACAAAAGTGTAAACATACTTAATGCAACTGAATTGTACACTTAAAATGGTAAAAATTGTCAATTTTATATTGTGTATATTTTACCATGATAGGAAAAAAACAATTTCATAGATTAACAAGAGGATATTGAGGTAAAATAATATTGTAATGTGTTCTCAAGTAGAGCTCAGATCATTTAGAATACAGCATATCATTACCATATGATATGAAATATGGCAATACCTAGTTACTGAACTCAGACTAGTTATTTAGAATCATTTAGGGAAAATTTAAATACATTAACAGAATTTTAAGACTAAATTAAGACATAAGAGTTCATCATTTATACTAATATTTGTTTTCTTAAATGGAGTTACTCTATTATCAAAACTGTTGAGATGTTCAGCATCCTGATTTCAATCACTGAATTAAATATTATAATATTTTTGCTCTTGTTTAATGTTTTATAGATTATAGATGTTTATAAATATTTTATAAACATTAAGTGAAATAATTTATATAATAAAATAATACAATATGTTAATATAAAACATTTTAATGTTTTATAAATGTTAAGTATAATAAACATAATTGTTTAATGTTTTATAGTTGTAGCTACATTTTGAGTGTTTTAAATGTCATTTACTAATCATCTAAAGCATATAAATGAATGCATCTGGATTTTAACTCAGAGTAAATTATTTCATAGTTAAGGCAAACAATTGTCAAATACACTGATTTTAAAAGAACTATTATTTATTGGTTTATTTCATGGAATAAATGAGTTTATACTGTTTAGAATGTATCAATTTATATTGTTTAGAAATGAACTTGCCATATCCACTTAGATAGAGATGCTGGGAATGTTTGTCAAACAGCAGTGTCAATACAGAAATCTTTTTATTTTCTCATTTCAAATGAAACACAAAATGATCTCTGTATCTCTTCATAAATATTTAGGCACCAGAGGTTTTGATGAGACTTTTCTTTTCAGAATTGTTTTAAGCTGTTTTCTACACTCAAATGTGGAAAATTTCAGATAATATTAGTTTTTCATGCGTTTTATTTAATAACAGCAAAGAAATCATAAAGGGAAGCTATATGGCTGGAACAAATGGAGACTATTTCTGAGAAATTGCAATTATCCTTGATTTTTGATTTACTCTTATCTACCACAAGGTGATAAATTTGACAAAAAGTCTTCTTAATGGTTTCTGTGCATGAAGAACTAGTTTTCATTCTCTTAATGAAGTGCTTCATCATCCACTCTTTTCCTGCCTAGTGGTCTAAGGTACTGTTAATATCAAGACTTCTGTCTCCAGTGAAAATCAATGCTTCAAAAATCTATTACATAGCTTACGACAGAATTGTTTCACTCTTCGTTCTAAATAATAAACATTATATAAAATATAAATACAAAATTATAAAAGTTACATTACATATTCACGTACTGTATGGTAAAACAAACTTTTTAAACATACTAGAATAGGTTGAAAGTTGATATTGGCCAAGTGAAATCAAGGGAAGAGTATGTTTTTTGGTTCATAAAGTTGTTTGGTATTCATTTGACCATAAAAATTATATTTTTAACCCATCCTTTACGTTTAAATTTATCTTTGTTTGATTTTTATCTTGCTTTTTAAAGGTTAGATATGGTTTTATCCACAGTTATTTTACCAATATTAAATTCTTAATGCTAAATCCTTCATTCTAAGAGAATACTCACTCTTATTCTGAGTATATAAACTCACCTACTTTATAGAATTTATCATTGTAATCCAGTAAGTGACCTTTAATACTCTCTTTCTTCACCAATCTCTATACACCTACTTTTCTTATTCTTTTATTCCTCTTGTCTCTCAGGAGTGTTCTTCATAAGCTGAAGGGATCTAAGAGAACAGCATTGTCCATACTTCCATTTCTGGTCAGATTACCCATTATAGCAAACCTCAAAAGGATACATAACTATACAAGAAAAAAATAACCCATAGTGGCCCCATCTGATAAAATGAAATATTTTAGATAATTTCCTTTATTATTTTCATATATTCAGCCTATTGTCCAGGCCTTCTTAATTCCTCCGGAACACTGTAGGATCATAAACTTCATTGAACAACTTCCCCAATCTCTTTTTATTTTCAATTTACCCACCTTTTCTACAAAAATATATATAAGATTTTTTTCACAGCTAAAAAAAATCACAAAACTTCCTTTTAGATGATATTGCTAAACATTTTCTTATCTTTACTGCCATATTTCTTGAAAAAATCACTTGTATGGTAAGGTGTAATTTTCTCATCATGCACTCACTTTTAACATTTGACAGACTGGCTTTTATTCTCCAAAACTCTATCGAAATCAGAGGAGCTTCTTTGTCCTAAGCCATTCTGGATTCTCTTCAGTACCGATACTCCCTTCTTAGTGGAGTTCTCGAAGGACTGATGCTGTCCTTATTAAACTCTACCCTCTTTTCAGGTTTACATAACGGAGTGACTCCCTGTTTTAGTCCTTTAACTTTTTGATGACTTCTGGCCCCTATTGGCTTAATGAGGAGGATAAGAAATTAAGAGAGAATGGCAGGTTCAGTTGACAAAAAGTTTTGCAGATTTTGCACCTCAACTTTTGTTAAGAAACATCAGTAGACCTTAAGTTTCCAGGCAACATTAATACATAATTAATTGTTAATTAACTTATATCTAATTCGTATACCAGATTTTTACACATACCTCTCAGGAAGTATCAATTATAAAATGTTTAACTTATTTGAATGTATAGTGTCTGAAACGTATACTTCTCAAATGCATGTTGGTATTTAAAAATCAATTTACAAATTTAAAAGGTAACTTATTAGTTCCATATGAGAACAGTTTTCCATTATTTTAAGTTCACGTAATACATCATATTAAATTCAATTTGCAATATGTTCTAATGTAGTGTATAAGTATTGACAAAATAACCATCGTTGTGGGGTTTCTGCTTCAACTGTGACATGGAAGGCCTACTCTGATCATCGGTGAAGTGGTCGAGTCTTCTTAGCAAAGTATTCAACATTCAGATATTGATTGTTTAGAAATAGAGTGACCTCATTTATTTAAAAGGAAAGACAAAATATTCCACATGCATAGCCTCCTGCCCTTCCTATGCTACTCATATTGTATTTGAATTTGAAAACTGCTATTTTTCAATTAACAATGGGACTGGATTTGAAGATATAGGCAAACAAAATCAATGATTTTGGTATTGCAAGATTGTCAAGTCTCTCCTTTCTCCCACTATAAGCATAAGTCTCTATTAATCTAAACCAAGCATTAATAACCCTTATATATATAGCAATAGAAGCTCCAGGATGTTACCATGTATTGTTAAAGCCCAAAACTAAGTATAACTGAACCCATCCAATAAATATGAAATGAAAAGCTATTATAGCTGGAAGAATTTGTTTTAAAGTAGACTTTTGAAAATTTTAAATAAGACCAACATTGACTGCTTACCTAACAAATTTGAACTTTAGAAAGATATGTTAAAAGGTTTATTTTACACAAAGTTCACTTAAATGGAGATCGTTCTTCAGCAGCAAGGAAAGATCCCATCTTCTTTGCTTAATGCGCATCGCACTGAAGCTTTATGGCTATATTAGAATATGCAACTCCCCATGCCAAGATTTAATTAAAGTTTAAATATTTGAAGGGCTGGTGATAATGTTGCCTCTAATAAAAAATTTACCTGTCTTGGGATCAATAGAGAAATAAGGTTGTCCCTGAAGAATGCTGTAAACGACTCTGGCACTGTTTCCATAGGTCGGGTCATCTGCATCTGTGGCCTTGACCTGGAGTACATATGCACCTGGAAAATAAGACAATATCACTCTAGCATTTTTGTTTTACTACTTTCAAGGTCATGACTCTTATCTGCTGGACTCGATTTTCCTTTGGTATTTGACCTACGTCAAGTACACCATGAGTACATGATGTCACTGAGGATAGTTTAACCGTTATAACCAAAATGTTGAGCAATGATATAGTTAGTGCAAATCATAAGTTTAAATACGCATTTTAAAAGTTGTGTCCATTTCCAGGAGCTGGATCATCGAAATGAAAGTCATCATGATACCTTTATTGATTGGCACACCAAAGAAAGCATGGACACCACTTATATTAGCTCATCTGCTTACTATTGATGTTTTAATTTTATGATTAGGATATCAATAGAGAGGCTAAAAGGTTTAGAGTGTACTGAACATTAGAGGTTGTTAAGTAATTTGCAATTGCAATTTAAAAATTAACAACTACCTACTAGCATCAGGAAGTCTTTAATTAGAAAAGGAATATTTGAGAAATTGAGAAACCATAAATAATTGCAAAATAGTTATAAGAGCACTTCTTTGCCTCAAGATTGAATTAACCTAAAGATATAGTGACATAAGAAGACACCACAGTCAAATGATCTGCAGCTTTCCTAATTTTTTTTTGGCATGGGTATATTTTTTCTGTACTAAAAGAAGTTGAAGGGAGCTTTTCTTTGTATTTTCCTTATCTGTTCATAAGCATATTGAAATCAGTCTCTAAAAACTTTTAAAGTGAGTATCTCTTCCTAATATCCTGTTCAAGTTACTATTCTGAGTTCAGAACAAAGTGTAATCAAAAGTACCCAAATTGTAGCAAATAAAATAGACATATATATATATGTATGTGTATATATGTATATATATGTGTATATACACACATACACGTGTACATCCAAAGTTATGCAGTGAGCAGAACTCCCTTAATCTGCTGGAGGCACTCAAAGTAACTATTCTGTTTAGTGAAAATAGGATTGTTCCTTTTCATTCCATTACTCATTCAGCCTTTTCTCTAAGAGTACAAATTTGGAGCAAACCATGTCTTCCTAGATTACTATAGAAGCTAAAAGAATGAATTACTTTTTCATTTCTACCATTTTCTTTTAATAAAATGTTAGGGTTGTGACAAGAGTAAGAAACAATAACTTTTTGTAGACATTCAATGCCAAGGTCTTTCAGTTTAAAATGGTTGAGTGAATCTTGGCTATATTAACAGAGGAAAAATATATTACAGCAGCCTTTCCCAAGAAAAGAAACTTTTAGAGGGAACTTTTAGAGAGAATGTAGATAAACATTACTAGGAAGTCAGGAGTGAAGACTAATATTATCCATCATCATCACCATCATCATCATCAACATCATCACTATCATTAAACACAATTTGACCAATGTTTATTTCTACCCAGCATTGGGTATCTGTATTAAAGATTCATTAAAACTACCTTTCTATAATCCTGTAGAAATCAACAGTTTATTAAGAGTAAAGTCCTCTCTTCCCAACAGCATTTTCCCCCAGAATATTCATCAGGATGTTTTCTATCCCTCCACTATACATGTGTAATATAGGCAAAGTCTACAAATATTCACTACTGTCCTAATTCTGGATATAAATATTACAATTGAAAAACTATAAATTGTTCTACATGTTGGGTATATTTGAGGAAAATGAAAGTATTATACTTAGTCACAAATAGGAAATTAAAATATTTGAGAAATAAGAAATATTTAGTGAAAAACATTAATAAAATTTGCCAAACTAATACCGTATTGCAATTTATAGTCGGGAAAATAAAGATGAACACGTATTGTCTTTACTTTCACATTTTTGTTTTTAATGTTTACATGACCCTCCACTATGCTGAACAAATATGTTCTTCTAATAGTTGTATTAAATTGTTTATATTAATTATTTTTACAGCTCAAATATTTAAAGGAGTGAATTGGAAAATACTTCATTAATGCATCGAAGTTGCAAATATTTTTTCATAAAACCCCACTTTGTGCTACTTAAAAGGATCACTGGATAGCAAGAATAACTGCATTCCTATCATATTTCTTCAGCTGTATCTATAGAATTAAAAGTAATTGTCCACTGAATTACAGTATAGGTTAATCCTTCTTTAGTGAAAGAGCAGATTCCAATGTAAATTCTCCAAAAGTTCTTAAAGATTGCCTTTCTGGGTGTTTACAAGAATGGAACTAAACACCACGATAGCAGCTTCTTTGTCAGCTGCTTGATGACTGTCACCAAACTCATGCAAAAGACAGAGATTTCATACTCTTTCCATTAAGAAGTCTCGGTCAATTGCCTGGAGCATGCAAATCTCCGAGGACTACCTTTTTCAGTGCTTGGATAGCACACCAGCTGTTCCTGACACTATTAAACACTAAATACCCAGGAGGTAAGAGCAGGAGGTTGTGGTTGGGGCATGTTTAATGTGCCACAAGGAAATAATACAGTCAATGATTTGCACAGAATCTGAAGTAGTCTGGTATGTAGCAGTGAGCTTGAAATTTATTCTCTTATCATTTGAATCCAGGGATGACAATATAACCACTCTAAATGGTTATATCTGCAGAGAGAATGCAGCTCATAGAGAAAACACTCTTGTATAAGTGGTCAGGGCCAGAGTGCAGAATTTGCAATGGAGAGTATCAAGTCACTTCAAGTTCCCATATAACACTGCTTTGTTCAGTAACAAATTAGTGTATATTTAGTAACAAAGCCAGCAATAAAAGTTATTTTATAGTAATAACTATATTCTATATCTTATACTGTCACTCAAAGGGAATAAATATTTATAAAACTATGATAAAGCAAAGAACAGAGAAACTGATCATTGAGTATGACAGAACTATGACGAAGAGGCATCAGGAGATGCCCACATGATACAAACTCCAACTAAATAAGTGATCACTAACATTTAAATGACTATGAGTTAGAATTCACATGAGATCCGATTTGGATATTGTATTGGTCAGCTCAGGCTGCAATAACAAAATACCACAGGCTGGGTGTCCTAAACAATAGAAATCTACGTTCTCACAATTTTGGACACAGGAAGTTTGAGATCAAAGAGCAGAAAAATTGGGTTTCTGATGAGACCTCTCTTCCTGGCTTCTCACTGTGTTCTCCTATGCCCTTTCCTCTGTGCTCAGACAGAGAGAGGGAGAGAGGCAGAGACAGAGAGAGAGAGAGAGACAGAGAGAGGATCTCCTCTCTGTTGTATCTCCCTTTTTTTTTTAATAAGGTCACCACTTCTATTGGATTAGGACCCACCCTTAGGACTTCATTTAACCTTAATTACCACCTGAAAGGGTCTATCTCCAAATACAGTCACATTCATGGTTAGAGCTTCCACATATGAATTTCAGGAGGATTCAAGTCAGTTCATAACATATCATTTTAGTATACAGATATGTATATGTTAAACTATATGTGGAAATTTAACAACTTAGTAAAGCATAATTTATTTCTATGTTGTAAAATTATAGTCATAACATAATGTGATCTCAGTAATTCGCAAGCAAACATTCATATCATAATAAAACTCTGATAGACTTATTAAACAGGCATACATTACCTAGATGAATTAACTTAAATTTGAGTCAATATTTTTTGTCCAAATTATGTTGAAAACACTAATAAAAAGTATAATGTTTCACTTTTTAGATTCAATTTTGAGAATTCATACATATAATATCTTATATGGTCAGACAATACATTTGAGAATTCATACATGTAATGTCTTATATGGTCAGACAATACATTTACACAGACACAAATGCACAGAACGATTTAATAGTTTGTAATTACTCCACTCAAGTTAATGAGTATATGAAGTGCCAGGCACACTGTCCAAGGTGCTAGGGAAACACCTTGAACAAAATTGAGAGACCAACTCCTGAAATCTTATATCTTATCTAAAGGGGAATGGGAGGAGAAACAGATTCGAGGTGAGAGATTTTAGATGGTAATCAGGAAAAGCAATTTTGTAAAATTTCATTTATGTAGAGACCTGAATAATTTTTTGCACTTTCCTTTTCCCCCTAATTTATTTATTCTTTACTTGACAATATTGTATGTATTTCTTGTATAGAGCACGTTTTGAAATATGTATACATTGTGGAATGACTAAACTGAGCTAATTAACTTATGGATTCCCTTACATATGTATCCCTTTATGTAGTCAGAACACTTAAAATCTACTTTCCTAGCAATTTTCAAGAATACAATATATTCCTATTAGCTGGAGTCACCATGTTGTGTGCTAGATGTCCAGAATTTATTTCTCCTGTCTAACTGAAATTGTGTATACTTCGAGCAACATCTCCCTAGTCACTCAGTTTCCCCTAACCACCTGTATTAGTCTGTTCTCATACTGCTATGAAGAAATACCAGAGGCTGGGTCATTCATAAAGAAAAAAGGTTTAATTGACTCATAGTTGAGTATGGCTGGGAAGCCCTCAGGAAACTTACAATCAGGAGGGAAGGTGAAGGGGAAGAAAGGCACCTTCTTCACAGGGGAGCAGGAAGAAGAAGTGTCAAGCAAAGGGGAAAAAGCCCCTTATAAGAACATCAGATTTCATGAAAACCCACTCACTATCATGAGAACAGCATGGGGGAAACCGCCTCCATGATCTGATTACCTCCACCTGGTTCTGCCTTCAATCCAATCAGTTCTCCAGAAGGCTGTATATGCTCTGAATCAGTGTCCAATATATGGTACCATTTCTCGCATAGCCAGGATTCACCAGTCCAGAAATCAAAGGGTGGACACGGAACCACTCACCATCACCCCTAGTGATCCACTAGCAAACTTCTTGCTTCCTGTTTCTGCGACATTACATTCTGCTGGCCTAGTAGTCTTAGTTCCAGAGGGAGAAATGCTGACACCAGGAGATACAACAATGATTCCATTAAACTGGAAGTTAAGATTGCCACCTGGCCAGTTTGGGCTCCTGCTAACTCTAAGTTAACAGGCTAAGAAGGGAGTTACAGTGTTGGCTGGCATGATTGACCTGGATTATCAAGGTGAAATCAGTTTACTACTTCACGATGGAGGTAAAGAAGAGTATGTGTGGAATACAGGAAATCTCTTAGGGCATCTCTTAGTATTACCATGGCCTGTGATTAACATCAATGGGAAACTACAACCACCCAATCCAGGCAGACACAATTGGCCCGGACTCTTCAGAAATGAAGGTTTGGGTCACTCCACCAGGTAAAAAAAAAACATGACCTGCTGAGGTGCTTGCTGAAGAAAAAGGGAATACAGAATGGGTAGTAGAAGAAGGTCATCATCTATACCAGCCACGACCACGTGACTCGTTGCAGAAATGAGTACTGTAATTGTCATGAATACTTTTTCTTTATTTTGTTAAGAATATGTTTGTGCATGTATACATTTGTACTAAGAAAAATATCTTCATTTTCTTTATCATGTGACACAAGATTTATTGATTTCATATCAGCATTTAAGTGTTGTTAACTTTATGTAATAGCATTTAGGTTAAGGATTAGTGTGCTTCGGGTTGTATGAGGGATAACTGTATTAAGTTAGGTGTAATTATGACCTTATTGTTGTCTTTATTTGGGGATTATGTATGACTTCAGGAGTTGTGTATGGGTTCAAGTTGACAAGAGGTGGACTTGTGATGGTTAATATAGAGTGTCAACTTGATTAGATTGAAGGATGCAAATTATTTTTACTGGATGTGTCTGTGAGGTTGTTGCCAAAGGAGATTAACATTTGAGTCAGTGGACTGGGAGAAGCTCACTTGCTCTCAATCTGGGTGGGCACAATCTAATCAGCTGCCAGTGCAGCTAGAATAAAGCAGTCAGAATAAGGTGGAAGGAGCTGACTTGCTGAGTCTTCTGGCCCTCATCCGTCTCCTGTGCTAGATGCTTCCTGCCTTCAAATATCAGACTCCAAGTTCTTTGGCTTTTGGACTCTTGGACATACACCTGTGGTTTGTCAGGGGCTCTTAGGCCTTCAGTTACAGACTGAAGGCTGTACTGTTAGCTTCCCTGCATTTGAGGTTTTGGGACTTGAACTGGCTTCCTTGCTCTTTATCTTGCAGATGGCTGATTGTGGGACTTCACCTTGCGATCTTGTGAATCAATACTCCTTAATAAACCCCCCTTCATACATACATCGATCCATTAGTTCTGTCCCTGTAGAAAACCCTAATACACCACAATTCTACTCACTGCTTCTGTGAGTTTTAATTCCATGCAGAGGCAGCTCTGGGTGAAAAAGGTCCTGAAAGTGTTGAGGGAAACCTCAGGAATATCAGAGCCACCTTCACTGCGGATCAAAAATCAGATGGAAGAGGTGGCAGAGAAAATGGTCATGTATGACTTTTTAAGCCACTGTTAGGACTCCTGTGGGGTTTAACTACCCTTTCTACATTGATTTATTTTTATCTCATTATCTCTACCTATCTAGTATACTTACCCACTAACCTGTATTTCAGTTTTTATTAACATGAAAGAGATATAACTAACTACACATTAATTTTTCCCCAATACAAAACAGAAATTTAGTATACTTGCACACAATTTATACTTATTGTATGGTGCAATTGCATTAATTTAAAATTACATGAAAGCTTAACTAAAATAAAAATATACTGAGTGAGAATGTAACAAAGTGAGTAGTACTTTACAATTTGTAATGACGATTTGATTTACATAGTATTTTCATCTGTGATTAAATTTTGTTGTTTTCCAGTGTAATTTCTTGAACCTTATTTTATTCATTAAATATATTGAACAGGCATTTTATAAAAGCACATAAAAATCCATCTCACAATTTTTAACCAATTTCCTTTCAGCGGACACTTTGTTAAGAGGATTTTGTTTATTTCCTCTATTACAAACAATTCTGCTATTAGTAAATTCTTGCCATTGCCACAGCTGGATCAAAAAGCATATAGATTCAACATATTGAGCTGTATTGTCAAGGTGACTATCAGAAATTGTACTTCTTTACATTCCTATCAACAAGGTATATTTTCTAACATTCTCATCAGCCCATATCCTAATTATATGTATTTTTTATTTTATGCTTGAACTTTAACAGCATGTAGTTTTTGGTCATTTCTAGTGTGTGTGTGTGTGTGTGTGTGTGTGTATAAGCTGCACTCTTTCTTAACCCACTTTTTTCATGTATTATATCTGTGTCTATCTGTTGAAAGGTTAATTTACTAACTTATCTTTATTTGGTTTCATTTTTATGTGGTTATTTTAAATGGTTTTCTTTCGTGTGAATGTGTTTATATCTATGTGTGCATGTGTGGTATATACACCTTAACAACTATTATCCTTTAGTTGTGTTTGGTAAACTTATGTGGGTTTTATAGTTTAGTCTTCTGAATTTCTATACAATGAGTGTATGGGTTCTGAAGCCCAGACCAGGCAAGCCAGCTTAATTTCATGACATAACTACAGAGGGCTTGCTTCTGCTATTTTATGTATCATGTAATAATCATCTTTTATTTATTTGATTTAATTAAGACTAATAATATAAAGGCTTGGGATAAATTTTAAGAATCATCTGGCACAATGTTTCCATTTTACAATCCAATACTTGAAGGCCAGTGATGTTAAAATCATTCTTATTGGTACTTAAAGACATTCTCATCCAAAAGGTAGGAAGTTGAGAGTGGAACTGAGCCCCACTAAGTCACAGTTTCAGTTAAAGTAGTCATAGTTAATTCATTCATGTCTTCTTTCAATCAATTTTGTTAATTCATTCATGTCTTCTTTCAATCAATAAGTATTTACATTTGTATACTATGCACCAGATGCTACTTTCAATGAACAATATAAAAAGTATGTTACATAATTATTTATTTTGTAAAATGCTACTTCTAGCATGACAGTTTTGTATTCTAGGTATTATTTCCATTGGAAGTATTAAATAAACTTGCTAGGAAGACAGAAAATAGATAAATATAAGCAGATTATATTGAATATATGGCCTCTAGAAAATATTTTTAAGATTTTCCATATGTATAGGAATATTCTAGTAATTGCATGTGCTCTTGCTTTTTATCACTCTGCCATTGTCTTAACAGGTTGAGGTCCTCACCTTCTCACAATTGGAAAGCTGAAATGAATCCTGTCTGCCTTCTCCTTCAGCCCCTTCAGTTCCTTTAACATAGGAACATGGGAGTCTTTGAGCCAACTCACAAGATTGATCCTATTACTTTCATTGATTACAAAAATAAAATGGAAATAAACAAAACAGAACAAAAACACATAAAGCTCTAAGGGGTTTCTATCCCTATTTTTAAAAAATCATCTAAACTCATTGACATGTTCTGAACAGCGTGACATGAACAGATTTCAAATGTGCCTTGTAGATTAGATTCCAACTGTGCTGCCAGAGACCCCATGCTGTGACTACTCACACTTATTTACTGTTTATGATGAGGCTCTTTCATGCCTCTGCGGTCTTGAATAGGTGATTCTGCTACCTGGAGGACATTTGCCTCACCGTTGATGTCCAGGTCCATGTCACTTGTGTGAACTCTTTCATTTCTGATCTCAAACAGAGATAATTTGTTCACTCCTCTATAATCTCATCACACTTAGAATATTTTGAGCTTTCAAAACTCAGTACATGTTTTTTCTTACTATAGTAAAACAATTTTACACCAACAGCCTTATCATATTTATCTTTATACACCCAGCACCTAGCAGAGATCTGTCATTAAGTCCAAAATAAATGTTTATTGATTAGATATGTATAGTACTCACATAGACTTTTACACAGAAAAGACAGAAATACAATACACAGAATTCTGTAAAGAGTGACCTGGTAGCTGGTTATGATCTTTAGAGTCATTTTCAATACTAAATTGGGGGTTCTGCTGATATTGAATTTTCTAATGTACTTCACTGTTTTCAATTTAGAGAGTACAACCAAAAGTAAGCAGCATTACTTTAAGAAAAATCACATAGGCAAGAAGACTTAGCCAATTTATGGAATGCAAACCAGGAGAGTTAATGTAAATTTCTTTGCAGAATAACATGAACGTTTCTCAGAACTGATGCATGTAACAAAAAGAGAGAGATTTCATGTAGCAAATCAGTTTCTTTTTGCTTTTGTCTTGTGTATATACATTGCATTATGATCTAGAGATAAAACAGAATTAGGAAAATTATATTTTCTAATTCTTATTTCAGAATTATAAATATACTAAAGTTGCTTTCAAAATAAAAATGCAAAAGAAAATTGAAATTTATTTTCAAATAAAATTAAAAAATTGTACATTCTATTATATAAAAAAGGCATTATGCAGCAGAGAAATGTAAAACAGAAAGAATATGTGTGTGTGTGTGTGTGTGTGCATGTAAGATGCTACAAAGGAATGGAATACTATAAGACATTGAAACAAGGGTGTGCTAGCTAATTTTAAGTGTCAACTTGACTGAATTAAGGAATACCTAGAGAACTGGTAAAGCACTACTCCTCGATGTGTCTGTGAGGGTGTTTTCAGAGAAGATTGCATGTGAGTCAGTGGATTGGATGAGAAAGATCCACCCTTAGTGTGGGTAGATACCATACAATCAGTTGGAAGCCCAAATAGAACAACAATAACAAAAAGATGGAAGAAAAGCTATTTTCTCTTTTGCATGTACGTTCTCTCTTGCCCTTCTACCTTCCCTCATGGAATCATGCAGAAAGAGTGCCCATACTGGATGCAACTTCTCAATCTTGGACTGCCTGTCCTCCAGAACTATAGGTCAAATGAATTTCTCTTCATGATAAACTTCCCAGTCTTAGGTATTCTATTACAGGAGCACAAAACAGACTAATTGGTCAGAAAATTGATGCCAATTGGAGTTGTTGCTATAACAAACACCTGAAAATGTGAAAGTGACTTTGAAACTGCGTAATGGATGAGACTGGAAGAATTTAGAGGAACAAACTATGAAAAAACCTAGATCACCATGAACACAGTATTAAGAGAAATTCTGGTGAGGGCTCAGAAGAAAAGAAATGTAGGTAGAGTCTGATAGTTCTTAGAGAGTTTTTAAGTGGTTGTAATTGGAATGTTCATAGAAATATGAGCAGTAAGGGTTGTTCTTATGCAGTCTGAGATGGAACTTAAGAACAAGGTATTGGAAACTGGAATAAAGGTAGTCCTTGTCATACAGGATTATGAAATACAAACCAGAGGAGAGTTAATGTAAATTTCTTTGAAGAATGACATGAATCTTTTTCAGAACTGATGCATGACAAAAAAAGAGAGTGCTATTTCATGTTTCAAATAACTGGTAGAATTGTTTTCATATCCTAGGACTTTGTGGAAAGTAGAACTTAAGAGCAATGACCTAAGATACTCAGCAGAAGAAATATCTAAGCACCACAGCATTTAGTGTGCTGCATGGCTTCTTTAAGCCACTTGAAGTAAAATGAGAGAGGAGAGGATGATTTAAAGACAGAACTTAAAATTAAATTAAGGCAGAAAGTAAAATTTTTGAGTATTTTAGCCTAGCCATCTAATAAATGAAAAGTGTGTTTATGAGATCAAACTAAGGGGGTGGCCAAGCTACCCTTTGCTAAAGAGATTACTATGGAAAGAAGGGGGGCAGGTGCTATTCTTCAAAACACTGGTTGAAGGACTCAGAAGGCATTTCAGAGCACCTCAAGGCTTCCTTTGCCATCACAAGCCCAGTGCTCTGGGAGGGCAGAATGGTTTTCATGGATAGATCCAGAGTGCCCTCCACAGACTCACTGCTGAGAACTATCTAGGGACTCTGCTTCCCACATTCCAGCACAATGCTCTTCAGCCACCCCAGCCATGTCTCAAGTGGGCCCAGGGGAGCTTTGACCCACCACTCAGGAAGGTACAAGCTGTAAACCTTGGCTGTAGGGTGTTTATTCTGGAGGCATGCAGAGTGAGTGGGCTGTAAGATCATGGTAGCTTTCACCTAGAGTTAAAAGAATGTCACAGAAACCCTGGGGACCTAGTCACATACTTGTCACAAGGGCAAACTCACCCCAGACAGCCCCAGCTATGGCAATGCCCTATACATCTGTACGAATGAGGCCATGTGATATGGTTTTGTTGTGTTCCCACCCAAATCTCATTTTGAATTGTAGCTCCCATAATTCCCTTATGTTGTGGGAGGGACACCATGTGAGATAATTGAATCATGGGGATGGTTTTCACCATACTGTTCTCATGGTAGTAAATAAGTTTCATGAGATCTGATGGTTTTATGAAGGGAAACCTCTTTCACTTGGTTCTCACTCTTGTCTTGTCTGCCACCATGTGAGACATGCCTTTCACCTTCCACCAGGATTGTGAGGCCTCTCCAGTCATGTGGAACTGTGAGTCCATTACATCTCTTTCTTTTGTAAATTGCCCAGACTCCAGTGTTTTTATTGGCAGTGTGAAAAAGGACTAATACAGCAAATTGGTACCAGTAGAGTAGGGCACTGCTGTAAAGATACCTGAAAATGTGGAAGCGACTTTGGAACTGGGTAACAAACAGAAGTTGGAACAGATTGGAGGGCTCAGAAGAAGACAGGAAAACGTGGGACAGTTTGGAACTTCCTAGAGACTTGTTGAATGGCTTTGACCAAAACACTGTTAATGATATGGACAATGAAATCCAGGCTGAGGTGGTCTCAGATGGAGATGTGGAATCTGTTGGCAACTGGAGCAAAGGTGACTCCTGTCATGTTTTAGTAAAGAGATTGGCTGTATTTTTCCCGTGGCCTAGAGATTTGTGGAGCTTGAACTTGAGAGAGATGATTTAGGGTACTTGGTGGAAGAAATTTCTAACCAGTAAAGTATTCAAGAGGTGACTTGGGTGCTGTTAAAGCCATTCAGTTTTATAAGGGAAGCAGAGCATAAAAGTTTGGGAAATTTGCAGCCTGACAATGTGATAGAAAAGAAAATCCCATTTTCAGAGGAGAGATTCAAGCTGGCTGCAGAAATTTGCATAAGTAACGAGAAGCCAAATATTAATCACAAGGACAATGAAGAAAATGTCTCCAGGGCATGTCAGAGACCTTTGTGGAAGCCCCTCCCATCACAGATCTGGAGGTCTAGGAGGAAAAAAAATGGTTTTGTGGGCCTGCCCCAGGGTCCCTTTACTGTGTGCAGTTTAGGGACATGGTGCTCTGTGTCCCAGACACTAAAAAGGGCCAATGTACAGCTCTGGGCCATGGCTTCAGAGGGGTCAAGCCTCAAGCCCTGGCAGCATTCACATGGTATTGAGCCTGCCAGTGCACAGAAATCAAGAATTGAGGCTTGGGCCAGCGCGGTGGCTCTCACCTGTAATCCCAGCACTTTGGGATGCCAAGAAGGGTGGATCACCTGATTTCAGGAGTTCGAGACCAGTCTGGCCAACATGGTGAACCCATGTCTCTACTAAAAATACACAAATTAGCCAGGTGTGGAGGTGTGTGCCTGTAATCCCAGCTACTCAGGAGTCTGAGGCAAGAGAATGGCTTGAACCCAGGAGGCGGAGGTTGCAGTGAGCTGAGGTCACGCCATTACACTCCAGCCTGGGGGACAAGAGTGAGACTTTGTCTCAAAAAAATAAAATAAAATAAGAATTAAGGCTTGGGAACCTCTGCCTAGATTTCAGAAAATGTATGGAAATGCCTGGATGTCTAGCCAGGGCGGGGCTGCCAAACACCAGGGCGGGGCTGCCCAACACCATGGGAACCCACTTCTTGCATCAGTGTGACCTGGATGTGAGACATGTAGTCAAAGGAGATCATTTTGGAACTTTAAGATTTGACTGTCCTGCTGGATTTTGAACTTGCTTGGGGCCTGTAGCCCCTTTGTTTTGGCCAATTTCTCTCATTTGGAATGGCTGTATTTACCCAATGCCTATATCCCCATTGTATCTAGGAAGTAACTAATTTGCTTTTGATTTTACAGGTTCATAGGTGGAAGGGACTTGCCTTGTCTCAGATGATACTTTGGACTGTGGACTTTTGAGTTAATGCTGAAAGGAGTTAAGACTTTGGGGGACTGTTGGGAAAGCATGATTGGCTTTTAAATGTGAGGACATGATATTTAAGGGGTGAAATGATATGGTTTGGCTGTGTCCCCACCCAAATCTCATTTTGAATTGTAGCTCCCATAATTTCCTCATGTTGTGGGAGGGAACCAGTGGGTGGTCATTGAATCACAGGGGCAGTTTCCCCCATACTGTTCTCGTGGTAGTGAATAGGTCTCAAAAGATCTGATGGTTTTATAAGGGGAAACCCCTTTCACTTGGTTCTCACTCTTGTCTTGTCTGCTGCCATGGGAGACATGCCTTTCACCGTCCACCATGATTGTGAGGCCTCCCCAGCCATGTGGAACTGTGAGTCCAATTAAACCTCTTTCTTTTGTAAATTGCCTCTTTCTTTTGTAAATTTCACCGTCCACCATGATTGTGAGGCCTCCCCAGCCATGTGGAACTGTGAGTCCAATTAAACCTCTTTCTTTTGTAAATTGCCCAGTCTCCAGTATGCCTTTATCAGCAGTGTAAAACAGACCGATACACCATGTCAGAGAGTCCCCAACCAGACAAAGCATAGTGGATCCCTGAGAGTAGAGCTGGTCTCAAGAAACCAAACTGTAGGGCCATCAGCATGCTACTCCAAACTGGGAAAGCTATAGGCATAAGACTCTAGCCCTTAAGATGTGCTGGGTATACCAAGCCCAGCAAAGTCATAGGAGTGTAGCTTTCTGAGGCCTTGGGGGCCCAAATTCTACCCCCATGTGTGCAGACATTATTCTCTACCTATAAGACTTAATGTTGTTTACCCTGTTGGGCTTTGGACTTACTTGAGAATAGTTACCCCTTTCTTCTTGGCTAACTCTCCCTTTTGGTATAGGAATGTCTATGCTATGCCTGTCCCACCATTGTATTTTGGAAGCAGGTAACTTGTAAATTCACAGGCTCACAACTAAAGAGGAATTTGCTTCAGAATGGATCACGGTTTGAATCTCACCCATATCTGGTTTAGATGGAATTTTGGACTTTGGACTTTGGAGTTGATGTTGGAACAAGTTAAGACTTTAGGGGCTACTGGCATAGAATGAATGCATTTGATTGTGAAAAGGACATTAATTTTGAGGGCCAGGGTGGATTATTGGCACCACTCACCATTACCCCTGGTGACCCACTAACAAATTTTTGCTTCTTGTTCCTGCAACTTTGTGCTCTGCTGGCCTGCAGGTCTTAGTTCCAGAGAAAGGAATGCTTCCACCATGACACATAACAGTGATTCCATTAAACTCAAAGCTAAGACTGCCACCAGGATACTTTGGGCTCCTCATGCATCTAAGTCAACAGTCTAAGAAGGGAGTTATAATCTTGGCTGGGGTGATTGATCTAGAATAGTGAGGTGAAATTGGACTACTACTCCACAATAGAGGTAAGGTAGAGCATGTCTAGAATACAGAAGATCCCTTAGGTTTTCTCTAGTTTTATCATGCCCTATGATTAAGGTCAATGGGAAGTTACAATAATTCAATCTATGTAGGACCAGGAATGACCCAGAGTCTTCCTGTAAAGAACCATGAACAGCTGATGTACTTGTGGAAGGCAAAGGGAATACAGAATGGGAAGTAGAAGAAGATGTTAATAAATGCCAGCTATGAGCACATGACTAGTTGTAGAAATGAAGACTAATTATCATAAGTATTTTTTCTATATTTTTTAGAATATGTTTATGTGTATTTATACATATATTAAGAAATACTTGTTTTTCTTTATGTTTTATTCTTTCATCATCAAATATAAAATATATTGATTTTATATTAGTCTTTAAGTATTGTTAATTTTATATCATAGCATTTAAGTTATGGGACATTAGGCAAAGGGTAAGCATCACCCAAAGACTTTATCTCCTCTTCAGGGGAAGGAATTAAATTATTTTTAATTGTACAAAGGATACTTGTATCATATTAGGGGGAATTATTACCTTGCTATTGTCTTTATTTGGAGATTAAGTATGGCTTAAGGAAATGCATATGGGTGCCAAGTTAATAAGGGTTGGATTTGTGATGGTTAATTTTAGGTGTCAGCTTGACTGAATTAAGGAATACCTAGTGGTATGGTTTGGCTCTGTGTCCCCACCCAAATCTTATCTTCAATTGTACTCCCATAATTCCCATGTGTTGTGGGAGGGACCTGGTGGAAGAAAACTGAATTATGGGGGCAGTTTCTCCCATAATGTTCTTCTGGTGGTAAATGAGTCCACGAGATCTGATGGTTTGTTTTATCAGGGGTTTCTGCTTTTGCGTCTTCCTCATTCTCTCTTCACCTACGGGCATCCATGTAAGAAGTGACTTGCTCCTCTTTGCCTTTTGCCATGATTGTGAAGCTTCCCCAGCCATGTGAAACTGTAAGTTCAATTAAACCTCTTTCTTTTGAAAATTGCCCAGTCTTGGGTATGTCTTTATCAACAGCGTGAAAATGGTCTAATACACCTAGAGAATTGGGAAAGCACTACTTCTGTGTGTGTCTGTGAGGGTGTTTCCAGAGGAGATTTGCATGTGAGTCAGTGGACTGAGTGAGGAAGATCCACCCTCAATGAGGGCAGGGACCATCCAATTAGCTGGGGGCCTGGATAGAATTAAAATGGCAGAAAAAAAGTGATTTCCACATGAGTGTGCATTCTTGCTGTTTCACCTTCCACCATAGGATAGCACAGCAAGAAAGATTTGTCCAGATGTAGCCATTCAATCCTGGACTTTTCAGCCTCCAGAACTGTCAGCCAAGTAGATTTCTGTTCATGATAAATTACCCAGTCTTGGGTATTTTGTTTTAACAGTACAAAATAGATTATAACAATAAGATCTGCTTTGTTCTGTGGGTCCTCTTTCTGTTTGCTTAGATTCATAAATGGCTTCTCCATCCTCTTTATCTTCAGCCAAGACAGCATATAAGGTATTTTACAAGAATTAGTGTGTTTTTGTTTTTGATACAGTGTCTCACTCTGTCACCCAGGTTGGGGTACAGGGGTATAATCACAGCCTACTGCAGCCCCAACCTGGTGAACTCAAGCAATTCTCCCACCTCAGGCTCCCAAGTAGCTGGGACTATAGGCGTATGCTACCACACCCAGCTAATATTTGTATTTTTGGTAGAGACAGAATTTTGTCATGTTGCTCAGGCTGGTTTCACACTCCTAGGATCAAACAATCTACCCACCTCGACATTCCAAAGTGCTGGGATTACAGGCATGAGCCACCATTCCCAGCCACAAGAATGACTAACAACACCAATTCTTGGGCTCTCATCAGACAGTTTAATTTAATTGTTCTTCAGTGTGACAGGTAACAGAATTTTTAAAAAAATTTCTGAAGATGAGTCTGGAATAGTGAGGGCTAAGAATTCTCCTAGAAGAACTTATCAATTAGGAGAGGCTGCATAGCTTGACATTGTGATTATAATCTTTGTCTCTGTGGCCTAACTTCTGAATTCCAGATTAACCATTAAACAATTGTGTGGTCTCAAGCAAATTTATCTTTGCTTTAGTTCCCTCATTTGCAGAAAAGGTGAAAAAACATAGCATCAATTTTCTAGTGGTATTAAATGTGTTAATATTTACATATAAAGGAATTATAATAGAGTTTTCCACGTAGTACTGCTATTCTAGGGTATGTAAAATAAAACAAATACCGCTGGGCGCAGTGGCTCACACCTGTAATCCCAGCACTTTGGAGGCCGAGGCGGGTGGATCACTTGAGGTCAAAAGTTCGCGACCAGCCTGACCAACATGGAGAAACCCCTCTCTACTAAAAATACAAAAAATTAGCTGGGCGTGGTGGCACACGCCTGTAATCCCACCTACTCGGGAGGCAGGAGAATCATTTGAACCCAGGAGGCGTAGGTTGCAATGAGCCGAGATTGCACCACTGCACTCCAGCTTAGGCAACAAGAGCAAAACTCCATCTCAAAAGTAAAATAAAATAAAATAATGCAAATACCTACATACTCAATCTCTGTTCTCCTGCACCACGTGTAGGGTATGACTTCCGAAAGTGTGACACTTGCAAGACTCCTATCCTCAACTCTCACCCCTGAATATTCAAATACTGATCTGGAATTTATCTTCTGTGTATTAGAAAAGGGAGGTTTTGAATATATATTTAAAATATATTAAAATGCCAACAAGTAGATAATAATGATATTGGATCACTTTATTAGAGACCCAAGGGAAAAGAATTATACATTTGTTAAGTCTTCATGAAATAATGAAAACCTTTAAGATGGACTAGAAAAGACATGTCATAAAAATCCCCCAGAGTAGAAATGATGCCTCCTTGAACTGTACTTCTAAGATCAGAGCATCCAATTTGGTTTTTCTCTGCTTAACACCCCGACCTTGCTCAGCGTGGGCCCTGAGTAGCCCCAGCACATCTAATGCTGTGACAGCAACTTATGATTTGGTATTCAGTCCAAGGCCCCAGAAGCACTCTAACGTTATAAAACCTTCCTCTTAGATCTGTCCTAAATATTTCAGACTATACATATTTACACCTTGTGATTCAAACCTACTTTGATGGATAAGTGAATCCATTTTTATGAGCACTTTATCTCTCAGCTGTGTGCCAAGAATTCTATAGTACCATAAATATCAATACAAATGCTAATGCCTGCGTCCAGTGACACACATTGAACTCCAACTTATGGTGTTGCCTTCTTTATACCTAATGTCATTTGAAATTATTTTCATACTTGCTGTTAGGAAATTCCATAGAAATAATGATGAAATGTCTGAGTATGGGATATACTCACTCAGGGGCTCTCAGCGATAATTCAGTAAGCTTTGTATTTTTTCTGTGTAGCATCATATTATTATAGGGCAAATAAATCAGTTTTGATGCAAATGTATTTGGCCAAGGTGTTAAGGACCAGTTCCTGTGACTAATTAGAGTTTAATGTACACCCTACATACCTAACATTATTTATTTTGATTTGATCAGATGCCTCTGCCATGTTAAGAGTAAGATCTATCTATCTATCTATCTATCTATCTATCTATCTATCTATCTATCTATCATCTATTATCTATCGATCTATCATCTATCTACCTATATATCAATCACCTACCTATCATCCATCTATCTATCTATCTATCTATCTATCATCTTCCTATTCATTTATCTGCATCTATCTCTCTATGTAGTTTTAAGTAAAAGAAAAAAACATACATATGTGTATTATATATATGCATATATAGTATATACGTGTGTGTATAAACTAGCAGTTAGAAGTACTAAATCCTAAAATCAACACTGTAATTAAATATATGATCTTGTGCAAGTTATTTCAATTCTGTAATGATAATATAATTTTAGTGGACAGTGTGGCAATCCTCCAAAAATTAGTCCCACCTAATCCTATGAACTGTTCATATTTATATTAATATATCACCATCTCCATTATACCTCCATGTACATTAGATGTTGAATTTCATGGAGGCAATTGGCTTAGGTCTAAAGCAACAAACCCAAATTCTTCCCCCTTTTTTTCTGGCTAATAATGCGTGTTTAAGAAGTATGAATGTAACCTACTTAAAGCCAACAAAATCAGAAGAGACATATGCTGGGAACTTCTAGAAAATTCTCTTGTACCCCCTTCGGACACTGATGTGCAGATGCCTGGAATTGCTATTGCCATTTAACACCTCTGTGGATAATTGACAAGATTGTCACAGACCAGAGGCCACAAACTTTAGTGTCACAGGGGAGAAAAATAAAGAGTCTCAACTAAACCTGCCAGAAGTTCATCCTCCAAGCATTTTGATAATTTGAAACCATAAATCCTCTTTTATGTGCTATTTTTTAAAAATTTTATTTTATTTTACTCTAAGTTCTGGAGGACATGTGCAGGATGTGCAGGTTTGTTACATAGGTAAACGTGTGCCATGGTGGTTTGCTGCACCTATCAACCTATCACCTAGGTATTTAGCCCAACATGCATTAGCTATTTTTCCAGATGCTCTCCCTCCCCCACCCTCCCCCAACAGGCCCCAATGAGTGTTGTTTCCCTCCCTGTGTTCTCAGTGTTCAGCTCCCGCTTACAAGTGAGAACATGCGGTTACTTTTCTGAGGATAATAGCTTCCAGCTTCACCCATGTCCCTGCAAAGAACATGATCTCATTCCCTTTTATGGCTACATAGTATTCCATGGTGTGTTTGTACCACATTTTCTTTATCCAGTCTATCATTGTTGGGCATTTGGGTTGATTTCATGTCTTTGCTATTGTGAGTGGTGCTGCAATGAACATTTGCAAGCGTATATCTTTGTAATAGAATGATTTATATTCCTTTGGGTATATACCCAGTAATGGGATTGCTGGGTCAGAATCTACAAGAAACATAAGCAAATTTACAAGAAAAAACAAACAACCCCATTAAAAAGTGGTCAAAGGACATAAACAGACACTTCTCAAAAGAAAACATTTGTGCAGCCAACAAACATATGAAGGAAGGCTCAACATCACTGATAATTAGACAAATGCAAATCAAAACTGAGAGACACAGGACTAGCTGGATTTCCTAGGCTGACTAAGAATTACTAAGCCTAGCTGGGAAGGTGACCGCATCCACCTTTAAACACGGGGCTTGCAACTTAGCTCACACCCAACCAATCAGGTAGTAAAGAGAGCTCACTAAAATGCGAATTAGGCAAAAACAGGAGGTAAAGAAATAGCCAATCATCTATCGCCTAAAAGCACAGGGGGAAAGACAATGATTGGGATATAAACCCCAGGCATTTGAGCAGGGAGTGGCAACCCCCTTTCAGTCCCCTCCCATTGTATGGGAGCTCTGTTTTCACTCTATTAAATCTTGCAACTGCACATTCTTCTGGTCTGTGTTTGCTACAGCTTGAGCTGAGCTTTGCTCGCCATCCACCACTGCTGTTCACAGCTGTCCCAGACCTGCCATTGATTTCCACCCTTCTGGGGTAGAAGGGTGTCCGCCGCACTTCTGATCCAGCCAGGCGGTGCCCATTGCTGCTCCCAGTCGGGCTAGAGGCCTGACACTGTTCCTGAGCCAGCTGAGTGCCTGGGGTTCCTCCTAATAGAGGTATAACATTCATGCATGGCCCAAAGTTTCATTCCTTGGAATTCTTGAGGACAAGAACCCCAGGTCAGAGAACAAAAGGCTTGCCGCCATCTTGGAAGTGGCCTGCCACCATCTTGGGCACTCTAAGAACAAGAACCCCTAGTAACAAAAGCACTATGAGATAGCATCTCACACCAGTCAGAATGGTGATTATTAAAGAATCAAGAAACAACAGGTCCTGTTGAGGTTGCAGAGAAATAGGAACACTTTTACACCATTGGTGGGCATGTAAATTAGTTAACCATTGTGGAAGACAGTGTGGCTAATCTTTCTAAAAGATTTTGTGTGCTATTTTATACTTGAGTTGCATTAGAATTTTCTGTTACTTCCAAATTAAGATTTTGGCAAGTCACTTAAACATTCTAAACCTCTGTTACTTCAAACATAAAATGGGAGTATAGAGAGTGGGGACCTCATGGAACTTATTTATGCATTAATTCATGTGAAAATGCATATAAATTTCTTAGCTTAATAACTGGCACTTAGTGAGCCCTCATCAAAATGATGGTTTAAATTCTTCAACTTTGTAATGAATGGGTAGAGTTCCCTACTTCCAGTAATTTGTTGTACAATTTGAAACAGAATCGTGTCTGAACTCTTCCCAAAATGAAGATTAATCTTTTGGTTACAGGGTTTTGAATATACCATTGCTCTGTCCAAAACTTTCAAAGCAGTGCCAATTACTGACATGTAAATTACATCTTCTGGTTTCTTCCACTAGTGCTGGCTCCCAAGTTGCTTTCCACAGTGCATTGTACTTCCGGAAGTACTGGACACAAACTTCACTCATTGTCATGCTTCTGTAGAATGCTTCCTTCAGCAATTTACCTTAATTGAAATCTTGCTTTCCCCTGAGCCTAGTACTATGATTGGAGCATTCTGGACTCAAAACTTCATTCCTTCAGCTTATCATTACTGCTTCTAATTTACTGATATTTTCTCCTAAGAGAGAATGGTGTTTCTTACGTTTACCTTTCTTCTTTGCGGGCATTTTTTTTTTTTTTTTCTGAAACGGAGTCTCGCTCTCTCTCCATGCTGGAGTGCAGTGGCACGATCTCGGTTCACCACAACCTCTGCCTCCCGGGTTCAAGTGATTCTCCTGCCTCAGCCTTTGGAGTAGCTGGGACTACAGGTGCACGCCACCATGCCCAGCTAATTTTTGTATTTTTAGTAGAGACAGGATTTCACCATGTTGGCCAGGATGGTCTCCATCTCTTGACCTCATGTTCCACCTTCCTCAGCCTCCCAAAGTGCTGGGATTACAGGCTTGAGCCACCACACCCGGCCCTTTGTTTGCATTTTAATGGTTGAGACAAATCTCTTTCTTCATGTTGTCTCTTTTTATGGTTTCTTCAACATCATTTACTCTTGACTCTCCCCCTGAGTCTCTGATAACTACTTAGCATTCTTTACAGACTCTTTTTCCTCTCTCTGCTCATATACCCTGATTTTGTCTCTCACTCTACATGCCTAACTCTACAATCTTGTTCATATTAGCCCCAGTGACTAAATCCTGACCATCATTTATACTTTCCGGTTGCTTCAATAGCAAAACTAGCTCTTAACTAGACCAGGATAAATCTGGAGGACATTTTAAGCTTTTATTTAGCACTTATTGTTTACATCTGGTATAGTCTCTTTCATTGACTAAACATTTCTACAATGTTTTCCTTATGCATTCTGCCACTACTTTTATTTGAAATGTTTACTATTTCTCACCTAGGTTATAGTGTTATAATATTTAATAGTCCAAATGTTGCTTGTCTTAACCTACAATCCACCTGTTGCTTCAGCCACATTTGTCTTTCAAAAATGTAAATTTAATTTTGTCCACAGCACTATCTCCAATGCTCTTCACAAATGTGCCTCTCTCATTTCCAGGCTTATCTTTGTCTCTTCCCTGTCTACTTTATGTTGCCTCAATATAATAGAGTTCCCTAAGATTCAGGGCTACTTCATATTATGCCCTTTATACATGCTGTTGTCAAAATCAGAAATGTTCTTTTTCAGGCCACATGCCACTGGTGGCTCACACCTGTAACCCCAGCATTTTGGGAGGCCTAGGAGGGTGGATCATGTGGAGACCAGGAATTGGAGAACAGCCTGGCCAACATGGCAAAACCCTACCTCTACTAAAAATACAAAAATTAGTCAGGCATAGTGGCACTTGCCTGTAGTCCCAGCTACTTGGGAGACTGAGGGACGAGAATTGCTTGAACCCATGAGGAGAAGGTTGCAGTGATCCTAGATTGCACCATTGTACTCTAGCCTGGGTGACAGAGTGAGATTCTGTCTCAGAAAAGAAAAAAAAAAAGAAGAAGAGGTGAGTGTTCTTTTTCATTCAGGTAAACTTCGTTCCATTTTAAAGACTGGCCTCAATAGCTCCACTTCTAGAAACTCGTTTCCATATGCTCAGAGTGTCTTGTTTCCTGTCTCATTTTCCACTGTCTCTTCCACAAGTCTGTAAGTTAACATCTAGAGAGTATTACTACTTTATTTATTTATTTATCTATTTATTTATTTATGGAATCTCAGAACCTACAACAGAGCTTGGTATATAATAAGTACTTAATACATGTCTATTGTGTAAGTTAATAAAGGAACAAATAAGTCTGGCTAAGAAAATACTTTTGATCAGCTGATGTTAGAAGTTTTCAATCAAGCCTTTGGATCTCTTGATTCAGCCACAAGGCTCAATGTCAATAGTTACAATATCGATATCCCATCAATAGTTATGGCAGTGATGACACTGCTTTGTTGTCTGTTACAGAAATCAATGGAGCAGCTTCAAATGAAAAATGTCTAGAGAAATCTTCAGAGCAGTGACAAAAGAATGCAATAAACCAATTATTAGCATTTTGGCAATCCTGACACCTCAAGCCATGCTAAGTCTACAGAAGAGTGTACAATTCTACTTTCCATTACCAGATAGAGCATGAGCTTTCATAAAACAAAGGACTGCATTGATACCCATTAGAAAAATGGATATCATGTGTGGAAAATCCATTAAAATAAAGTCTAGAACTTATTATAGCAGTTCACATTATCTGAAGGCAAGTGAACTTGATACTGATTATTTCATAAACTCAAAGTCACGATGATGCCACATGACTTTGCAATACTTGCAAAAGTGCTTATGAATCCAGATAAGTAATGATAGAAATAGTGTCTGTCTACAAAGTATTAATAACTGTACACATTATATTGTTTAAATATTCCTAGCTAATAGAGAAAACTTTATTTGTGCATGAGACTCTGATTTCATATTAAGGTTTTGTTTCTCCTGTGTTGCCATGGTTAAATGCTACAGTAATTTAGGGTGGTATTTGGGTTAGTAATTGTTACAAAAATAAAAGACTTGGAAGCCTACTTGTTTTGCAAGATTCATTGTAATGCAATTACTCAAAGCAGAAGTTCACTGTAGCTAAATGAAAATTAAACTTTATTATATTTCATATGCCTTCTGATCCAAATTCTCCAAATACGTTTATTAATGAGATCAGTTTCTTCATCTATAAAATGGGAGGTTTGAACAATACTCACTAGTCACGGTGTTTCACACCTGTAATCCTAGCAGTTTGGGAGGCTAAGGAAGGTGGATCACTTGAGCCTAGGAGTTGCAGACCAGCCAGGGCAACATGGTGCAACCCTGTCTCTACCAAAAATACAAAAAAAAAAAAAAAAAAATTAGCCAGGCATGGTGGCATGGCCTGTGGTCCCAGCTACTTGGGAAGATGAGGTGGGAGGGTCACTGGAGAATGAGAAGCAAAGTTTGCAGTGCTGAGATCCTGCCACTGCACTCCATCTTCTACAATACAGCTTGGATGACAGTAAGAGACCCTGTTGAAAGAAGAAAAGAAAGAAAGAAAAGAAAGAAAAAAAGAAAGAAAGAAAGAAGAAAGAAAGAAAGAAAGAGAAAAGAAAAGAAAAGAAAGAGAGGGAGAGAGAGAGAAAGAAAGAAAGAGAGAGAAAGAAAGAAAAAGAAAGAAGAAAGAAAAAGAAAAGAAAGGAAGAAAGAAAAAGAAAGAAAGAAAGGAAAGAAAGAGAGGGAGGGAGGAAAAAAAGAAAAAAGAGAAAAATGTCTATGTTGATATTCTATCCAAAAAGACTAACTGTATTGAGAGTTGCTGAAATTAAATTTTGATGGATTTTTCCATTTTCCGTTCACATGCTATCAAATTTTTACTTCACATGGTTCTCTCTCAAGAGTGGCTGGTATGATTTGCATTTGAAGGAGTTACAGTATAGTAATCATTCTCATGATGACTTGCATGTTCACACTATAAAAAAAACTTTAAAAGTTGGACAGCAGTTTCAAAGCCCACTGAAAACAAATTAAAATATATATGTCATTACTATTTCATAGGATAACAGTTTATCTATTAACCACTTTGAACTTTTTAAGCAGCACATTAAAAGAAAGAAAAGATAAGAGCCATTCTATCACTAAAGTATAATTTTGATGCACACTACAGGGAACAGTGAACTTAACCTAGTGCCTCCACAATACATGCAGATATCTGGAAGACGTTTTTGTTACTTATGGCAGTGAAATATATTTGATGCTACTTTAAAGTGTGTATTTGATGACAAAAGTTGAATTAACTATACTATTATCTCTAAGTGAAAGCTACGGCTCTTAATCAATTAAGTTATTATTCCCTTATCTATCATGAGGCTTCTCTCATTATACTAAAAGTATTTTTAAAAATATTTTGGTCAATATATCATTATGTGGAATTTTTTATGTATAGTATTTTTTAAAGCTTTCAAGTTGTAAGCCAGGGGTAAAATATAGTGCAGATTAAAAAATAAAAAGAGATTAAAAGTTTAAGGGAGAGTGAATTATAGCTAGATCAGATTACCCATGAATTTATTTTATGACCCAGCCAAAGAGATGGAAAGGAAACCTAATGAAAAGCGGTCGACAGCAAGAACAAATTCTTCAGGATCACAAGAGGATTCGGAATATTAAAGTCATGGATTCAATTAATAGTTGATCTAACAGGTAGATGGAAAACTTAGAGAATGGCAGTTTTGCCTGGTACAATTACAAATTATAAGTGAGTGGTCTTAAGAAAGAAGCTGTGAGCAGACAGTTCTGATGTCCTTGCTTATACTAATTTAGCAGCTGGCCCCAAAAGTCCACCTGGCAATCTGGAGTCCACAATGCTTGCTGGGACTCAGGGTCAGTTCCAAGTTATCAGCTTACTTCTTACAGTACTGAACCTGGGGCCACATTCAGGTAGAGGGTTCACCGACTTGGAAGTTTGAATAGCAGTTTTGTTCATTCCCTGAATTGTACCCTGATGAGTACCTATGGCTCAAACAAAGTTATATTTCCTTCCAACTACCTTACCCTTCAGTCAACAGTGTTGCTATCAGTGTTATCTTTTCTATAGAATCTGTTAGTTTCCTTCTACTGGAGTCATGCTTATGTCTTTCTTCTAGACTGTGACGTTAGGGCACTAAGTTCTTGTCTGTAGATGGGGATCATCCCAGCACTGGGGTGCTCTATATACAATGCTTTTCCTTCCTTCTTTCCTTCCTTCCTTCCTTCTTTCCTTCCTTCCTTCCTTCCTTCCTTCCTTCCTTCCTCCCTCCCTCCCTCTTTTCTTTCTTCCTTCTTTTCCTTCCTTCCTTCCTTCCTTCCTTCCCTTCTTTCTTTCCTTCCTTCCTTCCTTCCTTCCTTCCTTCCTTCCTTCCTTCCTTCTTTCTTTCTTTCTTTCTTTCTTTCTTTCTTTCTTTCTTTCTTTCTTTCTTTCTTTCTTTCTTTCTTTCTTTCTCTTTTCTCCTTCCTTCCTTCCTTTCTTTTCTTTTGCCCTAACATTTGTTTATCCACAGGCACTCACTCGTTGTGACGTCTAATAGAAAGTAGAGTCCCAGTGCACCCCAGCTCTCAGTATTTTTGATCGTGAGAGAGAAAGTTTCATGGAGTCAGGGTTTATCAATTTCTTGTTCTGAAGAGTGGGATTTTGCACTCAAGTGCAGAGTTGAATCGTCCATCATTTCCAGAGTACAGAAACATAGGAAACTTCACCTGTGTTTCTAGTGACTGTCTCTAAAGTTATATATTTAATGCCAGGGCACTTCTTTAGCTACCCCTCGGGGAGAATAATAAAATCTTAGTTTTTTATTTATAAGCCATCTATTAAGTGACCACTATTTTAGCAGCTCACACTGCACTATGCACAGAGAATATAAGGTATAAAAATGAATGAAAAAGAAAAATGAAAAAAAACTGCTGAAATGTAGTATTCTAAAAACTTTATTTTATATGATTTCTTTTGGGAAACTCAGAAAATACTTCTCATTTGCAACTCTCTCTTCTTTCCTAAAACAGGAGAGGAACTTAACAATATTTATGGAGCTATTACAATGTGTCAAACATTGTGCAAAACATTTTATATGCATTCTTATATTTAATGCTTAAACCCATCCTATTTTCTATTATTTGCACCATTTCTATAAATGCAAAACTAACATCTAGATGATGACGCGGGTTGTCTGGAGTCTTGACTTTTAGTTAAGTGGTGGAGCTGGGGCAAACTCAAACAGTTGACACCAAAGCCATTGCTCACAGCCACTACCCTAGTCCACCTCCAGGGAACAGAGAAGTTCTTCATAAAATAACTAAGCTGTTTTATTTTGTTTGTTTGGACATTCTTGGCACAACATATTTTTTCCATTTTTTTTAAATTTGGAATTGAACTTTCTAGAAATACACTACTCATTTTTGTTTACTTAAGTAAACAAATAGTCTATTTGGTTAAACTTCGTATCATTTTTATATATTAGTTTATCTGATACAAAATGGTTACTAATGGATCTGCATATATAATTTCAAATTACCTGAATACTTAAAAAGTATGCAAGGAATTTTCCACAGTAGCTACACTTGCCTAAGATCAGATATGCATAATATGTTTTGAATCATGGATCTTTTTTCTTTTGTTCTTATTAATATCATTTAAAAATCTAGCACCATTGTAATTCACATGTTGATACTCTGCAAAAGTGAGAAGAAATCAGTCTAATATCCAGGCTGTGAATGTAGATGCATTTTGATAGTTTATGATGTATTGATTGGAAATTCAAGATAAATAATAAGCGTTTTACTAAAATGAAAACTAGATTACAAAGCAATATTTGTAAAGATATATCAAACAATATTGCCAGTATTTAATTAGAGCCAATGTTCAGGTTTCAGTAATACCATTTTAGCTTCAGACGGTTATTGTCACTGGATTTCTTTGTTATGCCATTATAAATTAAGCAATGATGCATCATGATGATTCTTCCATTACTGGAAGTCACATTTTATCTGAATTTATTCTCATGTCCAAATGTTTGTGACGTATATTTAATTTGCTTATTGCCACATGCACAGCCACACACAGAGGATGACGTAAAGCAATCATAGAAATTAACAAAAAGACGTATTTTTATTACTTTATCAGTATTTCAAATTGATTTTTAAATCAGAAAAAAACAGGTTATTTGAACCAGACATAGATTGGCTGTATTGCTCTCATAATTTGGCAGATGTCTGTATGTTCCATTTATAGTACAACTGCCACATTTATTTGCTTTTTAAAAGTGATATATTAGCACTCTGTCCCTCACTCGCCGCCGACAACCTGTCTCGCCGCGCGCATGCCCTGCAGCCGCCCCACAGAAATGCTTCGGTTACCCACAGTCTTTCGCCAGATGAGACCAGTGTCCAGGGTACTGGCTCCTCATCTCACTCGAGCTTATGCCAAAGATGTAAAATTTGGTGCAGATGCCCGAGCCTTAATGCTTCAAGGTGTAGGTAGACCTTTTAGCCGATGCTGTGGCCGTTACAATGGAGCCAAAGGGAAGAACAGTGATTATTGAGCAGAGCTGGGGAAGTCCCAACGTAACAAAAGATGGTGTGACTGTTGCAAAGTCAATTGACTTGAAGGATAAATATAAAAACATTGGAGCTAAACTTGTTCAAGATGTTGCCAATAACACAAATGAAGAATCTGGGGATGGCACTACCACTGCTACTGTACTGGCAGGCTCTATAGCCAAGGAAGGCTTCCAGAAGATTAGCAAAGGTGCTAATCCAGTGGAAATCAGGAGAGGTGTGATGTTAGCTGTTGATGCTGTAATTGCTGAACTTAAAAAGCAGTCTAAACCTGTGACCACCCCTGAAGAAATTGCACAGGTTGCTATGATTTCTGCAAATGGAGACAAAGAAATTGGCAATATCATCTCTGATGCAATGAAAAAGGTTGGAAGAAAGGGTGTCATCACAGTAAAGGATGGAAAAACACTGAATGATGAATTAGAAATTATTGAAGGCATGAAGTTTGATTGAGGGTATATTTCTCCATACTTTATTAATACATCAAAAGGTCAGAAATGTGAATTCCAGGATGCCTATGTTCTGTTGAGTGAAAAGAAAATTTCTAGTGTCCAGTCCATTGTACCTGCTCTTGAAATTGCCAATGCTCACCATAAGCCTTTGGTGATAATCGCTGAAGATGTTGATGGAGAAGCTCTAAGTACACTCATCTTGAATAGGCTAAAGGTTGGTCTTCAGGTTGTGGCAGTCAAGGCTCCAGGGTTTGGTGACAATAGAAAGAACCAACTTAAAGATATGGCTATTGCTACTGGTGGTGCAGTGTTTGGAGAAGAGGGGTTGACCCTGAATCTTGAAGATGTTCAGCCTCATGACTTAGGAAAAGTTGGAGAGGTCATTGTGACCAAAGACGATGCCATGCTCTTAAAAGGAAAAGGTGACAAGGCTCAACTTGAAAAACGTATTCAAGAAATCATTGGGCAGTTAGATGTCACAACTAGTGAATATGAAAAGGAAAAACTGAATGAATGGCTGGCAAAACTTTCAGATGGAGTAGTTGTGCTGAAGTTTGGTGGGACAAGTGATGTTGAAGTGAATGAAAAGAAAGACAGAGTTACAGATGCCCTTAATGCTACAAGAGCTGCTGTTGAAGGAGGCATTGTTTTGGGAGGGGGTTTTGCCCTCCTTCGATGCATTCCAGCCTTGGACTCATTGACTCCAGCTAATGAAGATCAAAAAATTGGTATGGAAATTATTAAAAGAACACTCAAAATTCCAGCAATGACCACTGCTACGAATGCAGGTGTTGAAGGATCTTTGATAGTTGAGAAAATTATGCAAAATTCCTCAGAAGTTGGTTATGATGCTATGGTTGGAGATTTTATGAATATGGTAGAAAAAGGAATTATTGACCCAACAAAGCTTGTGAGAACTGCTTTATTGGATGCTGCTGGTGTGGCCTCTCTGTTAACTACAGCAGAAGTTGTAGTCACAGAAATTCCTAAAGAAGAGAAGGACCCTGGAATGGGTGCAATGGGTGGAATGGGAGGTGGTATGGGAGGTGGCATGTTCTAACTCCTAGACTAGTGCTTTACCTTTATTAATGAACTGTGACAGGAAGCCCAAGGCAGTGTTCCTCACCAATAACTTCAGAGAAGTCAGTTGGAGAAAATGAAAAAAAGGCTGGCTGAAAATCACTATAACCATCAGTTACTGGTTTCAGTTGACAAAATATATAATGGTTTACTGCTGTCATTGTCCATGCCTACAGATAATTTATTTTGTATTTTTGAATAAAAAACATTTGTACATTCCTGATACTGGGTACAAGAGCCATGTACCAATGTACTGCTTTCAACCTAAATCACTGAGGCATTTTTACTACTATTCTGTTAAAATCAGGATTTTAGTACTTGCCACCACCAGATGAGAAGTTAAGCAGCCTTTCTGTGGAGAGTGAGAATAGTTGTGTACAAAGTAGAGAAATATCCAATTATGTGACAACCTTTGTGTAATAAAAATTTGTTTAGTTAAAAAAAAGTGATGTATTAGACAACATTCTGTGTTTTCCCTTTTTAAATATATTCACTTAATTTTTGAAACTACTGTATGGGGTAATAACTTATTATAAAAGGCCCTGTTTTTTGCTTGTTTGCTTGTTTGTTGAGATGGAGTTTCACTCTTGTTGCTCAGGCTGGAGTGCAATGGCGTGATCTTGGCTCACCGCAACCTCTGCCTCCCGGGTTCAAACGATTCTCCTGCCTCAGCCTCCCGAGTTAGCTGGGATTAAAGGCATGCACCACCATGCCCAGCTATTTTTTGTGTTTTTAGTAGAGATGGGGTTTCTCCATGTTGGTCAGGCTGATCTGGAACTCCTGACCTCAGGTGATCCACTTGTCTCAGCCTCCCAAAGTGCTGGGATTACAGAGATGAGCCACCGCGCCCAGGCAAAAGGCCCTGTTTTAAGCACATTCCTTGTTTTAACAAATTTAATTCTCACAACAGTATGAGAAAGTAACTGTTATCTATATTTTACAGGTGAGGAAACTAAGGCAAGTGAGGCTATCTGTAATTTACCCAAGGTTGTACAACTTTAGTTTTAGCTTATTGTACTGTAGAGCTAATTCCAGAGCCGCTGTTCTCAATTACTATGCCACTCACCCCTTAGTTTACAGAGAAATGGTTATATGCCTGTTGAATTGGGTAGCTGATAGCATCACCCTTTAGCTTCAAAATGGTTCACTCTTTCAATAAAGGATTCATGCAAGCTCACCATATACGGTCAAACACAATTTGTAGATAGCAAATCTGAGCCCATAACCCAGATAATATAATTTTATATTTTCCTATCCTGAATTTGAGTTGCACTTGTGTATTGATTTATATGAGTTTGCCAAAAAATATCTTCATAGGACTTTAAGCAGTCATCCTTTGCCAGTTTAGGATATTCACTTTTTATGCATATTTTGTTTTTATAGAGCTTTAATTATGTTTCTTGTTTGCACCCTATTTGTCTCTACTATATCATCAGTGCTTTCCAAAGACTCACTGATATCAGTATATTATTAAATCTTATTTTTTAAGTAGTTCCCACACCAGTTCTCCATGCACCTTCTTTCCTTCACTGCTTTATTAGATGGGTACCTCTGTTCTCTTCATGTCACCTGTAATTCCTGCTTGCTTTAGTTCCTTATTCTGAAAAGAAGACCCCAGCATATCTTCCAAACATATTTGGGTAGTATATTGTATGTGAACTTCCTTGAATTTGTTCTTGGAATATATTGGTCATTTGGCTGAAAATAAAATTTTTGGTTAAGCACCATTTTTGTTTGTAACATAAAATTCATTGCTCCATTTACTTCTAGCAACTGTGCTTTCATGTTGCTCTCTGGAAGTCTAATGCCACTTTGATTCTCTATTTAAAGTGGCTTGTTCCATTTGTTTCTTACTTCTTTTGTTCTGATTTTGTAAAAATTTTCTTTCTTCCCTCTGAAATTTTGGAAAAAGTTTCTTCATCTTTGGTATTCTAATAGCTAAAATGAAGTATGTTTTTTTTCATTCATTACCAGGCATATTCACTGGGTGAAACTGGTAATCTGTAGCTTGTATGCTTAGATGTGTGAAATTATAAATTTTGCTCTTCTATCCTTTTTCTGGAATTCTTATTCTCAGATTCTCTTTGTTTGTGTTTTTTCTTTTTATTATTTTTCTTTTTATTAATTTTCCTCATATATATGAGGAAAAATAGTAAAGAAATAGAACAAAACCTCAAAGAGTTTACATATATTATTATATTATATATAATATATATAAATATATATAAATATAAAATTTATTATATATATAAATTCAGAGGGGATATATAAAACTCTTTGAGGTTTTGTTCTATTTCTTTAGAATATGCTTCTTTTTTTCCATTAACATGTCTTCAAATATTACACATAAGCACTTAATCTCTAATTATTCCATTTTTCTAATAGATATAATTTTATTTTAGATATAATTGTAACTTGAATTTTCATAGATGTTGGGGGAAGTGGTTTAGGTATTCTTATCGATATTTTATTACTTATCTCTCATTCAATATTTGTTTTTCTGTTTTATAATGTAGTTTTCCTCAAATGCATGATGATCTTTGGTTTTTGGCACATCTTTTAAGATGGAACAATGAAGCAGTTGGCTATGACTTGGGGCCGTGAGAGTCATGGAGACAATAGTCTCTGGTTAGTTTCCTCTAGTGTGCCATGCAGATTTTCTTATTATCAACATGTGTTGTGATATGACAGTATCAGTATTTTATCAATATCCATATTTACACGATAAAATTGTTTAGGATTTTCAGACTCATTCACTCATATAAATTAATTAAATTCTTTATTATTTCTGAGCTTGACAGTATCTAAGAAGACTTTGCATTTATACTTCCATTTTATCTTTCTCTCTCCACTTTAGAATATCTCCCTGATGATAATTCTTTGATACTCCTTCTTTTATCCCTTCTTTCACTCCTTGCTGATATTGTTTTCAGACACTATTTTGTATGATTGATAAGAAGTTTAAACAAGATGTTTATGATTCAGTTGATAGTGATGGACAAAAATTAAAAATGCATGACTATAATATCAAAGCTATAACAAATTTAATATTATAAGAAAGTAACTGAAGGAGAAATTAATTCTGTCTCCAAATGAACATCAATAGTGACTTGAAACACTTCTGATGAATAGACAGATCTTCCTCCCATAGTTAAAATCTGGCTGCCTGTGACTTTTTTCATCCCAGTGTCCCATTCTTCCTCTGGAGACACTGCGGATCCATAGCTTCCCTATTCTCCTTCAACAATGGAAAATCAGCTATCATTTTGCACTTACACTTCTTCCAATTGAACATACCCCCTTCTTCAACTGTTCCTTGTATAACATGATTCACACCATGGACTTTTTTGAGTAGCCCTCCAGGTCCTTCATATATGATTAAAATTCCCTGCTGGCATCTAGAAATGAATTATTGAGTTTCAGAAGAATCACTACCAGGTTGCATGAGGCCACAGTTTAGTATGAACATAGTCAGGGCCCGGGTAATTCACTGTTATGAGGGCACAACAGCTAGGAATTCAAATACTTTTGAGCAGTGCCAGGAGTAGATAACATAAGCAAGAATTGCCCCAATACTGTATTTTTTTTTTCCCCTTAGTTCCAGGTTTTCTTTCACCTCTTTCCATTAGCACTAATTAACGAGCCAGTTCAGTAAGCAGTTGATCTAAACAAAAAGTCTGAGTATAAGACAAACAATAACAACAACAACAACAAAACAGTCACACTAAGGAGGGTCTGAAAAGACTGCTACATTAGCCGGGCCTGGGGTAGTAACATGCAGGCAAAAAATTTGGTTGCAATATGGTGCAACCGGAGGTTAAGTTCTACAGTGAGGTCCACTACACTGTGTACCAAATCTAAGAAAGGACAAAAGAACATACGCTTTTCTCTCCTTTTTCCCTCGTGCTTTTAAAAATGTACATTCAGATTATTAAAGGGTAATTTTTTCATATGAAACTTAGAGACTTACTTTTCAGACTTTAAAAAGATGACTAGTATTTCATATCAAACACCTTACCTGTTAGCTCATAGAGAGACTACATCACTAACAATGCAGGGAGATAAATAGCATCTACTTTGAATTGTTCCTCAGTTTAGGAAACAATTTGCAACGTTTCCTCACTTCAGAGAAGTAATACTATTAGGAATGCTAATGTAAATGACGAGTTAATGGGTGCAGCACACCAACATGGTACATGTATACATATGTAACAAACCTGCATGTTGTGTACATGTACCCTAGAACTTAAAGTATAATAATAATAAAAAAAAGAAGTAACATATCTTCATAGAAATTTAAAATCACTCACAATTCAAACATGTGGGAGGTATTTGTGATAATACTTTTAAAGTTTGTATTGTTATTCCTACATAGATATAAGTAAATTGAGATTATACTATTTATACTATATTGTAACCTGCTTTTTAAAATTTAACAATATATATTGATAAATGTTCAGTTTCTAAATATTATTGATGTGCTTTTAATACATACCTATTTTATGAAATAAATGATTATACTAGTTTTTATAGCCAGTCCATTATTAATGCTACTCCAGTTGATTTTAAGCTTCTATCATTATAGATAAGGGCATGCTTGTATATACAAATAGGTGCATATTAGAAAATTAGAAATAAGCTGTCATGTTGCTGATATAGTAATTTATTTCTAAAGAAAGACTAAATACTTAAAATAGAAAAGCACATATGATTATATATTTCTGATAGGAAAAATAATATATTTTAGGTGCTATTCATATTTTTAATCCAGAAAACGTAAGATCAACATGCTGCATGATAAGTAATGTTTTTATATTTTATACTTAAACTGAGTTTCAATAAGGGAATGAGAAAAGTGATGCCAGCCTCTTTTAAAGAAATATAATTTGAACATTAAAAATGTTTACTATCTTAATTTCCAAGCCAATAAAAAAGTGTAAGAGCTATTTTTCCTGTATATATTATCATTATTTAGCAAAACAAAGTAGGGAGAAGGGAGATGTGGTATCTGGCTCACTGCAGGGGGATTATTACAATTCAGATCAGGAGGCCCCCTAGTCTGTGAACACATTCCCTGACCTGTCACTGCCAGTTTTAGCAAAGCTGTAGTTGCCTGCACCTGTAAAGAGAGAAACAGACATTGCCTTTGTGGGGCTTATCTTTTGAAAGAAAAATATATTACCAATCCAATGTTCTGAAGCTAGACTCCTGAAGCTGTTTTTACAGAAGCAAAGTGAAACAAAATATTTTACCTAAAGAAGCCTCTTTCCAGTCTGTGTTCGCATGTGTGTGGCTTTGATAACACAGCTTTCCATGCCATCAGTATCCTGAATGCTGAACAAAATCAGAAAGTATTCTCCAGTTCTTCTGCATTCTAGACATCTCAAAACAATATATGGGGTTTTGTTTGCTTTCTTTCTTTCTGCTGTAGGAAGTAACCATGTCCATAAAAGCAATACTACTATTTCTCAATATAGATGATGAAGAACAGCTGCCTTTGCCTAAAACCCTCTTTGTGTTAGCATCAGAGGGCAGAGCTGCTTTTCTTAGCATATAAGTTACCCCACACTGGCAATGTTTGACTTTTATTGCTTACAGAATCAGGTAAAAAAACATCAGCTGTAGTCTAAGACACTTCCTTCTTACAACTATATTTGACCAACAAAATATAAATCTCAAAGGTTCATTCTATGTTTCGGGAAATATGTAAAACACATTTAAATGACTGACACTTAAATGAATCAACTTCAGAAAAATTCTGTTTTTCTCTTTGCAAAGTGTAGTAAATACAGTTGTGCGTGGGTGTATGTGTATGTCTTACTTGTATTTCTTTCTTTTGTCAGGATCTTAAACATCTACTGTACTTTAATTGTTAAGATTTATTTCCCTCATTCGTTTCCCTATCCTCAGCACCCAGCACAGAATGTACTACAAATATTTAATCAATGGTTGCTTAAAAAACAGCATATTGAACGAATGAAACTCTTAAATCTTTCTTCTATGGTAAAAATGTCTAGAGTCAATTATTTGGTATAATAATTAATGGAAAATAAGAAGAGTAAAAAGAACCCCAGAAAGTCAATTATTTGTTATAACAGCTAATGGAAAATAAGAAGAGTGAAAAGAACTATACAGCCTTACTTTCAGCTAATTATTTGGTTAAGAAAGGATTTCAATTGGTGTATTTCTCATGTGATTTCACTATTCCACCTTCTGCTCAGTTTCAAATTCAATGGAGGGGGATAAAAATAATTATGTGTTTTACATTTGTTTATTTGCATTTGTATGTTAACAAACAAGGACCTGTCCTACAGCCATTAAAGCACAATTTTAGAGACAGAGTGATTCTACATACATAGGCTTTGCAGCAGAGATGTATATAAAGGACAAACATGTTAGGATTCTCTATATATTTGAAAAACGAAATAACGCAATAAAGCTCATTTTATAAAAGGACACTAAAAAAGTGAGGATACTGTCAAATTTAGGTTGGGATAGTAAGTAGTACTATTTAGAATTACAAAGAAAGAGCAAAAATAGAAAATTTAAAGAAACTTGTCAAAACAAGGAAGCAAGCTGAAAGGGAGAAAAATTGGATTTTCTACAACTGGCATACAGGTTGTCAACGTTATCCAAAGTATATAAACCCCATTACGTCTTCATAGAATGCCAACTACATTGTGAAAATTCCAATAAATGATGATAAGCCTAAAATTTATGATATGTCAATATATCTACCACATACCTTTCCAAAGGAATGACCCACCAGATCTATCCTGAGTTGTTTATATAAATCCTAATTGCAATTTATAGTTCTGTATTAAACTTTATTTGCAATCAATTATCTAAGATCAGCCTAACAATTGAGATAAAGTAGAACTAGAAAAAGATTAAGAGTTCAGGAAAATACACTCCTGGAGTTTTGATACTACATTCTAGTCACCTTTTTACATCTAACAGTATCAATTTACAGCTGTGGAAATTCAGACATAGCCCTATTTTTGGAAAATTCAACAAAGAAGTATTAACATTGCATCTTTCATAGGCTTAGAATTTTTGATCCAAAAGCTATTTAAGATAAAATCTCATTTTGCTTTCCATTACAGAGATGACAAAAACAGCTAGAGATCATGAAATGAATTACACACATCATGTGGCCTATACTATCACAGTTGGGAGAAGAAATAAAGTCCCTTCATTCTTCAGTCCAATTCTCTTTCCTGTGAATACACACACACATACACACACACACACACACACACACACACACTCTTTCTGGCAATGTTTCTTACAAGTCTTTTTAGCAGACTAAACAAGGATCAGAGTTAATCTTTGGATTAAGTGTTTGGATGTAGCCAAAATAGTTGAATTTATCTCTATAGGAGACAATCAATGTTTTCTACAAGCAAATCAATATCCCAAGGTTACAGTTTCTGATTGTACTTAATTCTCCTTGCTAAATGTACCTTATTAATTATTTTGAAACAAGGGCCAAGTTTGTGGCTAGATCAAATCAAAACTTCAAAAGAAGGAAGGAAGGAAGGAAAAGAGGAAGAACAAAACAGAGAAAGATAAGAAAAGAAAACTAGGAAAGGCTCCAAATCTATGCTTAATTGATGGCTACCAATTTGAGTTCTCCTGAACCTGTTCCAATACTGTGCTGAGAATTTTAGCTGATCATGACTGCTATGCCAAGCTCATATAACACGTTCAGTTTTAAATCCATTATGATATCTTGGACTTCCAGTTAATAAAATAGTATTTAAATTCTGATCATTTTCAGTAAAAATAAGAATAATTACAGATCTGAACTGTATTTGGGGAGTAAAAGATGCATAACATTTTTTAAATGCTTTCTGTGATAATGCTAGTAATTCCCTTTGGTTTTGTTTATTAATTGATATGCAATTCTTGATAAACAGCTTCTGGTTTAGTCATGTAGATGTTCGGCAAGGCTCAGAGTGATGTGGTTATCAATCATGGTGATGAGCTGTCTTGTTGTTTGATATGAACTTTCCTAGAATGGAATACAACTTCCTTTAAAGAATCCTGGAACTCTAGGGTAGGTGGTGGGTTTAGGGTGGTGGCGGGAAAAAGTAAAGTATTTCATTGTTGTCACTTTTCGCAGGTTCTGCCATCACATGCAGTTAGTTACTTAGGCCAGAGATTAATTTGGATTGTAAAAGAAATAAGCTTTTTTCTTCTAGTCTAATTTTATTCACTAGGGTTTTAAAAGCCACAAATTCTTCTTGTGGCAGAAACTCACAGTATGTATTAAAAGTGTTTATTTTTATTTTAATAAATATATAAAGTTTTACGTTTATAAAAATGTTTGCATCAGTTTACCTACAATACTAAATCTTTTGGAAAATAATTTAAAAAATGGTTCACAAGGATATGACCTATGGCCATTCTCCTCCTTAAAAAAATCTGTGATGCTGCCTGATTTGGTTTCAGGAAAAGCAAAAGCATGATATCCATCTCTGTTTTCTCCATTAAAAAACCCGCTTGATCTAAGTATTGACTCAATAATTTGTTGAAATAATAACTTAATTGAGGAAGTAATCATATCTTGTAATTTAATAATATGGTATAATGGTTGGAAAGAGTAACCAAACAACCAGCAAAGCTTCACGTACAACTAACTGGTCTTGCTCTTGATAGAAGGATTTAGTACATCACGTTTGCCTTTGATCCCCTTTATCACCTTTTCATACCCTTTATCTTCTATAGTAACAAAGTTCTCCCGCATCTTGCTCTTGTTCTTATCTTTTGAACATCAACATCTGCTAGCAGTTATCTCATTTGTACCGCACTGTAAACGACTTAGAAGAGTTTTGATCATTGCCTTTCAAGTTAATTGTAAAATTTCAAGCATGGGTGGATCATTTGAATGCGTGTTTGCAGCAACTATTTAGTCTAAGTTGTGGTTGAGGGAAAAAGAGGGGATTCAGAAATTATACTAATAGAACCTCAGCAAAAACAGGGCCACAATAAAAGGAAAATTCAAGGGAGTGGCAGGAGAGAACAAAATGAAGTCCAGAAAGGCATAATGAGTTCAGAAATTGGCCCATTAGAAAAGAAGCGGGAATTGCAGACATATCTCTTTGTAAGCAGACACACCTATAGAAATATTTGTGCATCTTTTTCTTGCTAAATAGTGCAGCTTACATTTATTGTCACCAGTAATATTTAACAAAGCCTTAGAATTTTTAGTGTAGTACCCCAAAATCAGTTTGGTAGCACATTCAACTTTTTGAAAATAAGAACTTCAAGTATTCTTGCAATTTTGATGTCTACTGCAAAATGACATGAGTGAAGTAACCCTGCTACTGATTGTTTTCAGTGGGTGAAATATATTTTCTTATCTACTGATATATAGAAACAAGCAAGTGCAACATTAAGAATGAATCATGTCATTCTTCTCTACTTCTGGTTTTGAAGCCCAGTAGAGTTATAAAGAAACAAATTTGTAAGAAAAGTGTACCAACTGAAATGGCTCCTTACATAAACAGCTGCCAGTGAGATTTTTTTTCTGTCATTAATTATAACCAAGGAATAAAGTTCTTTACAACCCTTTACATCACAGAAAAGGTATTTGAGTTTTTTATTTTAATTAATTATTCGCTGAAGAAACCATTTACAGTATTTAACGCCTGCAAGAGGTGCTGAGTTAGGTGCTAGTCCAAAGAGATGAGTGAGAGAAATAGATTTTAAACAATTAAAGTATAGAATGGTACTAGCATAAAGAAAAGATAAATATTGGCTGGGCAGAGCGGTTCATGCCTGTAATCCCAGCACTTTGGGAAGCCAAGGCGGGTGGATCACCTGAGGTCAGCAGTTCGAGACCAGTCTCATGAGTATAGTGACACCTTGTCTCTACTAAAAATACAAAAATTAGCCAGGCATGGTGGCATGAGCCTGTAGTCCCAGTTACTCAGGAGGCTGAGACAGGAGAATTGCTTGAACCCGGGAGGCGGAGTTTGCAGTAAGCCCAGATTGTGCCGCTGCACTCCAGCCTGGGCAACAGAGGGAGACACCGTCTCAAAGAAAAAAAAAAAAAAAAAAAAAAGAAAGCATAAATATCTCAGGTTATGAATATTCCCAGGACACTGATTTGATTACAAATATACAAATGTATTAAGTTATCACGAGTATCCAAACACTATGTATATCTATTATGAATCAACTTGTAAAGTATAATGTGTACTTAAAAAGTGTAGAAACACAAACACATACATGTACACAAATACCCACAATAAATATGCAGTTTGAAAGAAAGAAAATCTTTCTTTATACAGCTATATTTATTTATAATTTTATTCAGATCATTTAAAGAACATTACCCCTTTTTTGAATTTAGTTGCATTCTAGGACTCCAGGTTTTTTTGACCAGCATTTAAAACCAAGGCAGAGTTTATTTATCTTTCATCTGTAAAAGGGGTAACCCTTGGCAACACGAAAAGAAATCTAACATTATCCTTTAGTAATAACTAAAGGATCTTTCTCTGGATACCTTGTGACTGCTCCTCAGCCCTCTAATATCTCCCATATTTATAATAACTGCATAGAGCATAAGTGGTTCACCATATTTGCTCAAGTCAATTAAAATGTGAAGGGAAATTACTTTTAACTGCAAAAACCAAAATTACTTTTGCACCAACTAATACGTAGCAAATAAATTGAAAAAAAAAAAAAGACTAGTTCTCAGAGAACTGGTCTCTTTTAGCCTGCTATACTGTTCCTCCTTAGTTGACTTTCAAGGCTGTTCAGCTGCGCTCACTATAAAGGGACAGTAGTAGCCTATAGCACAGAGAAGAAGACAGAGCTGGAGAGAAATGAGTAAATGTGCAAGAAGCTTCCAAAGTGATTGGAGAGAAATGGAATGTATCTCCCCCTCACACTCCTTCAGCTTACCTCACATACCCCATGTTTAGAGGTATTATTTGTGGGTTAACATATGTGGTCTAAACCATAAATGTAGCAAATATGGGCATTAAGATTCCACATGGGAAGATACAAACAAAACTGAGTAGGCCGGCGGCCCTGGCACTGAGTAGAGAAGAGAAACTGTGGTTCTGTCTTCCTATATGTCATTAATGCGTGGAAGCTTCTTGACTTAGCCCATCAGGACGCTCATCCTGCCCTTAAGGAGCTGCTCTTCCACAAGCAGTCTTCAGTCCATTAGAGCAGCAGGGAATGTTTCCAGAGCTCCATATGCATCAATTTGGGAAACTGCATCACCTTGTTAGCCACACAGCTGCGCTTTTCTTTCTCAGGGCTCAGCTCAGCTGCTGATGTTAGACAGCCTTGTGCCACAAGAAGTGTGTCAGAGCCCAGAGGAGCCACTGCCCCCCACCCAGTCAGGGACTGGAGTTGAATTCTACCATTCTGGAGAGAATCTAGCCCTGCCCAAGTGCCCAGGTAGTAGCCTTCATGATTGAAGGTAAAGATCAGCAGGAAACTGGCTTCCTTCAAATAACTGTGCATGAGGGTACAGATAGGAAGATCCCCCAGGCCTGGAAGCAAACACAGCCTGGGAGCCCACTCTAGCATTGGGTAGGATCTCTCAAATCTCAGTTATTTTCATCAGTGTGTGGCTCTTGGCTGCAACCCAAGCACCAGGATAACAATGGACCAGGCAGAACAATTCCCTTCCCTTGGGAGCTAGCAGATGTGCAGAGGTGTCTCTTCTAATCTTAAATTGAATTAAAGCCCTGAGAGAAGGTGCATTGGCTTCCACGCCTCTACATAGCGTAAGGTTTGAATGCTGAACTCTGGGCATAAATGAGGCACAGTATCTGCTATGCCAGCTGGAATGACAGCCAGCTTAATCAAATAGAATTCATTCCAAAAAAGAAATTGAGAGTCACCGATGGAGAGTGAGAGTGAGAAAAATACAAATACATATTTATATGAGCTTGAAAAATTATAATACTGGAATTCCTCTTATAAACCAATTTGTTTCAGTACCAACTCTTTTCCAAACATAGATTATTATCTTCACAGCTTGGACAATTAAAAAGTGTCAAAATAACAATTTTCTCTGCTCAAAAATCTAAAAGATGGCATCCTCTTTTCATTATATGTAAACTATTTCACAAGCTGTGACATGAATAAAATGCAAATCAGATTATTACAATTCTCAGCAGCTAATGGGAACTCTACCTCTTTCTCTTCCATTCACCATTGAAATACCAGATTGTTATAAAAGCCTTTAAAGACTGAACTTGAGAGACCGAGTGTTGTGTCCAATGGCTAATTCAAGGTGATCTACAACCTAATCGATGTATAAACAAGTATAGTTTTGCTGTTATTTTGAAATCAAAGAATCAAGTAAGACTGACAAATGATGGAAAACACGTGAAACAAAAAAAACTTTTTTTATCTAATGCTTGATAGATGGCTAAACTTCTTAACACTGCCCGCTTCCCAGATATTTCAGAAAAATGAGACTATAGATTGACGAAGTATTAAATCTGTGGTAGCTTATCCCTCTTGAGTTTATTGGCTTATTTATTCTTATCAGTATAATTTGTCTACAAGCACATGTAAAAAGTCTCAATTTAGTATGTTGCTAGAGAAAAAGTCAAAGGAAAATAAATAGAACTTTGAGGTTTCTGCTCTTTATTCAGAATCATTGGAAAATACAAGCCAACCAAAAAAAATTAAATTCTACCTACAACTAAATCTGAGAAAAAAATATTGAGTTCATAAAGATGAACATATAAGTTTTATTTTGATAGAAATTGCCAACAAATATAATCAACTGAAATGTTGCTCAGTAAGGAGAAAGGGGAAAAAAAGGTTATATAAATACAATGACAGCCAGGTATTGTCATTTTCAAAGACCCTATGCCTAACATTCACAGGGTTGCTTTTTACAAATCTGGTTGACAGAAATTTTCAGCATTCATCCAGTAACTGAAATGTATTGGTCAGTACTATAGGCTTCATATGACTGTGAGCATCTAGAAAGCTCTGGTTTCCTCCGAGCGGATGACATTTATCTATTTTGTATTTTGCTTACAAAAAAATGTTTCCCAAGTGATACCTTGATATTTTATGAAAAAAGATGTTACTGAAGAGAAATAAAGCCTCAAATGTCTGTTACGTTGAATGAAAATGTACTGACAAAGGTGATATCAAGTTTTTAGAGACAGTATCATTAGCCTGTCCCATATTCTTCAGAGTTTCTGAGTTACTCAAAATGAAACTGACAGGATTATGGACTATCATGTGAAATTTTGATTGTATTGAAGCCAGCTCTAAAAGAATCCTAGAAACATGAACATATTACATCTTAGTTTTGTATACATATGCTTGCAATAAAACTGCTTTTATAGTAAGATTTCATAAATATTCCTCATATAATTTATAAGATAAAAACTCAAGGTTACAAAACATATTTATCAGAGCTATTTTGAAAATGAATTTAAAAAATACAAATAAAAGCTAAATTTTGACTTCTTCCATGTATTACAATATTTCTTTGTCTTCTGACACCAACAAAACATTTTCAGCAGATTGAAATTTTAAAGGCTTCTACACTGTAATTATATTACAGAACACAATGTCATTAAAATGTAAAGCAAATGGAATAGGTTATATGCCATTTAATGTTCTGATATTTTTATTTAAATTGAGTAGGTTATATGCCACTTAATATTTCTGATATTTTTATTAAAGTCATCATAAAATTGACATGTTCTTTCTTAATGACAGGCATGACCTTATGTAGTAAAAGTACTTTCTTGAATATTAAACAACTGCTGAAATCACCAGAATAAATAAAAAACTTGGCTTACTTTAGGAATAAATTATAGGAAAAATCTATATGTAGGGCCTTTTAGTATACATTAAATTTTTTTTCTGTTTTTCTTTTTAATATTTTATTTTATTTTTAGAGACAGGGTCTCACTCTGTGAGACCAGGATGGAGTGTAGTGGTGTGATCTCATATGTCATAGCATCCTCAAACTCCTGGTCTCAAGTGATTCCCCTGCCTTGGCCTCCCAAAGTGCTGGGATTGCAGGCATGTACCGCTGCACTCAACCTAAAATTTCTTTTAAAAAATCTATTTGAGAAAGGCCAGGCGCGGTGGCTCACGGCTGTAATCCCAGCACTTTGGGAGGCTGAGGCGGGCGGATCAGGAGGTCAGGAGATCGAGACCATCCTGGCTGACACGGTGAAACCCCGTCTCTACTAAAAATACAAAAAATTAGCTGGGCGTGGTGGCGGGCGCCTATAGTCCCAGCTACTCGGGAGGCTGAGGCAGGAGAATGGCGTGAACTTGGGAGGCTGAGGTTGAAATGAGCTGAGATCGCGCCACTGCTCTTCAGCCTGGCAACAGAGCGAGACTCCATCTCAAAAAAATAAGTAAATAAATATATAAATAAATAAAATAAAGTATATTTGAGAAGAGACAATTGTAAAAGTTATGAAAAAAGTTTGAGATAGATTCAGAAAGGAGTCAAGCTGAATGGAGAGATGTAATCATGAAGAAAGGAGAGGAAATCTGGTCTGTATCGCTTGAATTTTATCATGGAAGTTAAAACAAAAATGAGTTGATCTAAGAGAAGGAATTTATGAGGGAAAAGGCAGATCTTCATGGCCCGAAACTCTGTTTTAGTCTATCTCACACAATTTCTCCTGCTTTCCAGGAAAACTTTACTTTTCACCTCGCCAATATGGTCTTTCCACCTCTGTGATTTAGTTCTTACTCTCCTTCCCACCTGGGGGTTGTTCCCTCCTACCTTTTCTGTATTTGCTGTAAATTACCCATCCTTAACATCTAAATTTAACAATCATAAATACCATGGAGTTATCTGTGATCTTTCTAGCTAGAATTAATTTTCTTCTCTCTGATGCTTTCAGAACAGTTTCTGCTTAAAGTATTTATTGCATGCCACCTTGCATTACAAATCTTTATGTACACATTAGCTTTATTCCTGGTTTTATAGATCTCTTGAAGGCAAGGGCAGTCTGATTTACCTTGCATTCCTCATAATACTCAGAGAACCTAGTATAAGGCCATTTTAGAAAATAGATACTTGATACAATTCAGTGAAAGCATGTCATGGACATGTTAAATCAAGACCCTAGTTGAGGAGTTTGCTAGGAACGAGGCTAAAGCTACAAACTTTCAAGTATATTTGTGCTTGGGATAAAATCAAGGCTGTGGGCTCTTTAGGAGAGAAGGAGAAATCTCAAAATTTAAACTCATTTACAATTTAAAAGGTATGAAATATTTGAGGTCATCTAATGGCAAAGCAATCAGTTTTCAGAGGCATTTGAGGCATGGCATTCAAATTGTCTTGGCAAAGATATTTATAAAGAAATGTATAGAGGATTAACCTATAACGATTGAGAAAGTTATTTAAAAGGTTTGTTTTAAAAAGCTCTTATTAGTAATAACAATTATTAATATAATAATAACATTCTTCTAGCTTTTTTGAATATTAACTATAATATATGAACCATACTAAATGCTGTGTGTTTATTATATAATTTTAATACTTGTGATAGAATTCATTTTGTTCTTACAATAATCACTATATAATTTCCATTATAAAGATGAGAAAATCAAGACTAGAAAATGTGCTTGAAATTTTATAATCCTCAAGTTATTATTGAACATTTTATTCATATATCTATATGGAATTTATATATACAAATCCACAGATTTTATATATCTAGCTAGATACATAGATAGTTACAGGTACTTACAGACCATTTTAAAGACTTAATAAAAGTTAATTTTGATATTAACATTGAATAATTTGGATCTTCAATATATGCTATTTACAAGCATCACTTTTGGCACTAGCTCTCTAAAGTATACATTCATGAATCCCAGAGCATATATCCATGTCTTGTGGTAGCTATCACAGGAAATAATATGTGCCTCAATTCCTGTGGAAGGCAGGAGGGAGGCAATAAAGAAAGGAAGGAAGAAATGAAGTACAAAGCAAACACTATAAACTGGCTATTCAAGTAAACAATACGTTATTATTCTAACGATAACCAGTTATTAGTGAATAATAATACAATCTATATATGACAGGTATGTAGTATATTTAATAGCTATTCTAAATAATTAAAATGCCAAAGGTTATATCACATCATCTTATATCATGTTATATTAGCTATAGCTGTACAAAATGCTGTTATACTTACTATGTGTAAAAACAAACCATGCCAATTCATTAAAAAACTGGTAGTGACCTGGGAGCTCTGCCACCGTAACAACCAAATGCTGGATATTACACTAGAAATGTCATGGTATTTATCTTTTTTCACTAAGGGTGGCCCATTTCTGATTTGGACTTTGAACAGAAAACACATATTTCAATAACAAGTTTAAAATCGGTCCCCGACTCCGCCAGCCAATGCCCACCACAATTGCAGCACAATTCAAGAGAGTGCTGAAGACTCTGCAGAATTAATGCAATGAGAAAAGGAACTTTGATAGCGAATGCTCAGAATGACGATGGGCTACAGAATCATACAGTCATCTTTAAAACCTCTGCCTAAATAAAGATGATAAATCCTTGAGAAAAGAAGTGAGCATCACAGCCCACATAGCACATGCCACACTGCAAACAAAAGTCCAGGCTATTCTTTCTCATTGTTGTTTCTGCCATGCCGCATTTCTGGCACAGAACAGTTGCTCAGTAAATATTGTGAAATAATATAAATGAATTTAAACGTTTGATTTAAATTCAGCCAGAGAAGAGATTGCTCATATTTCTTCAGGGTTTTCTCTAAACCCTTAGTGAAGTGATACATTTTATAGTACACATTGCACATTTTCCATTGTAAAATATAAGTTGAGTCATGTTCAAGAAAATTTTGGGGATTTTCTAAGGTCAACATATAAAGTTCAATATTGAAAAAAACATGTTTTTGTATGCCTAGAACTTATAAGTCATATTATTATAGTCTAATTCCAATCCTGAGAGTGAACAAAAAAAGTTAAGTGCACCTCTGATAATTATGTTCAATTATGGCTGATTTCTAACTGGCATAGGTCCATGTTACACATAATAAGATCCCATGTAAAACTTCAGCCATTCAAACCCAGGTAAATAGCTTTGAGTTCATAATTTTCAAATATCTTTTTTCAAAAACTTGTTGGAACTGTTCTACTTCTATGACATTCTTTCCCAACTGACTTTAGAAGTGACATCTCAATTTCCTTTTATTTATGTCACTGGAACTACTGCTTCAATGCTTTCTGATTTCATACCTGCATAATAAAATTCCTGATTCGCCCATCACATTTTGGCAAACAACCACCGCCACATCTCTCTGGATACTGGCTTTATCAACCCTCCAGATTCATTTCAACCAGCCACCTCCACATATGATTTTCCAACCACTTTGAACTCCCAAGCAACCAGGTGTTCTCCCTCACTATGATCTGCTTGCACCTGATCCAGGCTTGACAAACAACATCATCATCCAGCAGTGGTTTATATCCATCATGAGGTTTTCCAAACATCAGTCATTCAATTATTTCCTTCACAAGTTTTGCTCCAACTGTATATAATTTGCTGTGTTATAATTATGACTTTATTGTATAACAGATACTCTATGATAAAAGGGATATATTCTTGTTCTGCTAGCCACTGTACGTGCAGAGATTACAATAATAATCGTCATGTACTGCTCACTTAGGAAACATTGTTGAATAAGCAAGTGAACAGATGAAGATATCACTGGATGGAATCTTTCAAAATTATGCACTATACGCAAAGCAATATTATTCAATTCTATCTTTATTCTGCTGCCTTCTGTAGGATCTATCTTAGAGATATGTTGCCTCTTGATTATGAAGGGAGACTTGCAAGTGATAAACAAAGGTAAATTGTTACTAGTAAACCAAATTGAGGTGCTCTCTCTCTCTCTACATATATGTATAATATAAGTATATATATTACATATGTATTATATGTATATATGTATATATGTGTATATATATATATCTCCCTCGCTATTTCTCTTTCTCTCTGTCTCACTCACTGTCTCTCTTTCAGATCTTTGCTACTCTAAGTATGTTTCCAGAGCCAGTGGATTAAGTACCATGCAGAGAGTTTTTGAGAAATGCAGAATCTCAGGCCCCATAACAGACTTAATGCAGAATCCATGGTTTAACAAGTACCCAAGTGATTCATATGTCCATTATATCTGAGAAGCTCTGTCTTCCATATAATCAGAAAGAGTTAAAAGAGAATTGAAAAAGAAAATATGTTTCTCACTAGGTAACCCAGCATTACTTAATTCTAAATGAGTGCTAATAGAACTTTTTGCAGTGACAGAAATGTTCTCTATCTGCTCTGAACAATAACCACATGTGGCTATTTATCACTTTAAAAGAGACTAATATAAATAAGAAACTAAACTTTAATTTTGTTCAATTTTTTTTAAAATTTATTTTTAATTAGTCAATGTAGCCAATGGCTATTATGTTGGAGAGTATGACTCTATTAGATATGGGTAACAACAGCTAAACATTGGGGAACACTTGTATGCTGATTTAAAGATGTTGCATAAATGGAAGAATGATAAGACGAAGAATTGAGCCCATGAAAACATTAGGAAAATAAGACTGCGCATTCAAATTATTATGTCATAAATTTTACAATTTACAAATGAGTTAAGACGCTAATGATAATATTTCAAAATAATAAATGGCCAAGGCTGCTACTTAGAGTTAAGAAAATGAAAACAACCATTAGGTGCTGCTCTCCTTCATATCCCATTAAAATAATGATAAAAATAAATACAATTAAATAAATAAAAATTAAAATGAGACTTGGAAGAAACAATAACGACAACATTTTAAATTCTGGGAAGCAGAAAAATAAGTGGTAATTAACAGTGTGCCCCAAATGTTGAATTCTACACAGCAATAGTAGGGAAATTGGAGAGTTACTAGAATTTGTGCTGCAGATGCTTTATGAGAAACAAGGTTGGTGATACTTAGCTCCCTGTGAAAATAGTGCTAAAGAAGAGATTGTAAGTACGTTTGAAAAACGTACGTAAGAAGCATGCAAATAGATCCCAACAGTTCTTCTCTCAGTCTACTCAGCTAGGGGACTGTCTTCAACTCCCTTCCTGCCCTTACCCCTTATTGCCTACATATGCTTCAGAAGAAGGCTAAGGGTTCGTTATCTTAAAGGGGGAAAAGAGTGTCTTGGACACCAGCCTTAGCTGTCAGACAGGTCTCATCTTAATTCTGAAAACAGAATTAAGAGAAATTTACTTTCTAAAAGTTAAACCTGTACCGGTTTCCCCTATTTGGTGCCTAGAACTCCAACAGCCAGGTTTATATAACAGTGTCATAAAATAGAAGTCTTTTCTGGATAGTTGGATCAGCCGAGAGAAAAATAAAAACAAAACAAATAAAAACACAAATGAACAATAGAAGTCAAAAGATACAGTGAGAAAATCTTCAAGAAGGTAAGGTAAGAACACAAATAGATGGAAAGTAGGAGCCAAAAGATAAGAAAACTCAAAGAAAAGTATCTGAATAGTAGTTCCAGAAAAGGAACAGAAAATGAGACACAAAAAAAGCCATCAACGACATCATTCCCAATTTATTCCTTAGAAAAAAAGACATGGATTTCCAGATTAAAATGTCTTGCTAAGTGTCCTGCATGATGGATGAAAATAGACATGCAGCAATATTCAAGACTGATAATTTCCAACCATCAGGGATCTGCCTCTGTAGTCTCTTCTCTTTCTCTATTAGGCAATTATAACTACTGTCTGCATTGCTGATTTCCTGCCCTAAATTCTGCTAATAAACTTCATGTTACATTTTTCCCCGTGTAAAAATGTTTCACTGGTGGTGTTTGGGTTCTTTTTCATTGTATAACACAGGATCTCAAAAAGTTTACCTACCATGCATCCTGTTGCAGGAAATAATTAGTGAGATATGCTCCACCAAAACGAGGAAGTGAATGCAGAAGAAAATCAGAAGTTATAGGAAAAAGGGGAGAGAACACAAGAGACATGTGGAAGGAATAATAATGGGATGATTATCAAAATATCACCACTGGATTTTGGAATTCTTGAGAGTAATCAAACCAGACTGAAGCTAGTTAGATAAGGCTAAGGAAGATTTCTTTAAGACTATAAAATTGGGCTGGCGTAGTAGCTCATGATGTCTGTAATCCCAGCACTTTGAGAGGCTTGGATGAGAGGATCACTTGAGGCCAGGAGTTCAAGACCAGCCCGAGTAACATAGAGAGTCCCTGTCTCTACAAAATAAATAAATAAAAATAAAAAATTAGCCAAGCAAGGTGGCATGTGCCTGTAGTCCTAGCTACTTGGGAGGCTGAGACAAAAGGATTGCTTGAGCCCAAGAGTTCAGCCTGCAATGAGTTATGATTGCACCACTATACTCCAGCCTGAACCAAAGCATGACAGTGTCTCTAAAAACAAACAAACAAACAAAAAACAGAAAGAAAGAAAAAGGAAAAGGAAAAGGAAAAACAGACTATAAAATTGAGAAAATAGCTAACATATTGAGATGTGGTTTATACCACTGCAGGGTGAAATTGCAGATGTATTAACACTAAGGACATAGAAAAGTCCCCCCAAATAACCATAAAGTTCAAAATTTATTAAACTGAGGGAAACCAAGGTGATGTACAGGAAAGAAAATCACATGGCTCAGCTATAAAAGCATTTGCATAGCCATTGCAATGTGTACTTTGGATGTCAATCACAATTTGTCCTTTAGGGATAGATGGTAAATAGAAAAAGGTATCAAAAATAGGTTTAAGTGGGTGCCGTAGAGCACAGGAAATGTGTGCGGTGAAGCAGGAAGAGAGCAGAGAGCTTTTATAGGGGATGGCTTTGTTTTGTAGCCTTATCAACTGTTGGACTCAAAGTTGTGTTTTTAAAACTCAAACTATAAAACACAGAAATGACAAAACAAGATAAAAACTAACTAAATTTTAAAATTACAAAGATTTGGGAGAATCCCTCCAATTGTGACGATACCTTAATTTTAGCACGAACTTTTGATTGGATGCTTGCTAAGCAGACTCTTGGGCACTGGAAATACAGCAGTGAGTAAAACAGGCAAAAATGACTGTCTTTGCAGTTTGTCTTTTCCTCAGTGATACATTGGAAAATGTGAAAGCACATCTGCCCTATAATTTTCTAACTCCAGGTTTTAGAACTTTTGCAACAGACTACAATTACCAGGCTCTGGCCACCTATTGAGTCCCTTACCCGATCACTCTCTCTCAGACTCCCAATTCCAGTCAAACAACTCTCCTTACAGTCTGTGTTTTTTGTTTTCCTGGACTAGAAAGTTCTCACAGATATCGCAATTGTCTCATTCATTCTAGTTTTGAGTCAATTACCATCTCGGCAGAGAGACCTCATCAATTACTATGTTTAAAGTATCTATTGTTGCTCTTTTTCCCTCTCCCCTTTCACTGCTTTATTTCTCCTTATTGCACTGAAAATACTGGATGTGATTTGCATTTATTTGAACATATGTTTATTGTCAGTATTTTTCTGACAGATGCTGACATACAATAGCAATAACTTTCTTCTGTTTGTTTCTAAATTCATGGTGTCTAGAACAATGTCTGGTTAATAGTAAGTGCTCAATACTTATATTTAGAAGAAAAGAAGGAAGAATATAAAGGAGAAAGACAATAGAAATAACAGATTAAAATAAATCCATAATATGTTACTATAAGTACATATTTATATTTATAAAGTTATTTTACTTCCTAACCATTAATTAATATCTAAATTATTTTTAAAGATGGATATTTTAGGTAGCTTTAGGTTTGACGGTGGTCAAGAATAGATTAGTTTCTTGAAATAGGATATTTTCCAAATGTGAATACAATTACTTGAAGCAGACAGGTCAGGGGTTTTCATGACTTCAGTCATTTCTTTTAGGGTTCTGGACATATGTATTCATTGAGCAGACTTTTGTTTTTATAGCTTTAGTAAGAATGAAATTTGCAATGTTCTAGATCTGATATACTGAGATTTGACACATACTTTAGAATATAGCAACACCTTATTAGCTGCAGTATAGCAAATAGGTACTGAAAAGAAATATCTAGACAACTCCGAAATTCCTCTTGCCACATTACTCTTAAGGGAAGGAAAAGCTGTTAGGAGGTGCTGAATAATAATCACAGTTGAGTCACTTTCTGACACTGCTGTCTTGCATGATTTACTGAATATAATCCTTCAAATGATCTTTGCTTTCTTTTCAACTCCCAAAAGGAGATATTAATTTTTGTTGTAGTTGTTTTCTTTAAAAAAATCCGAATTTAGGCAACTTTATTGGAACTTTGGGACCTGTCACCGTTTGTGAGTCTGTAGATACATCCAGCCATGTTTTTCCACCCTGGATGCAACATTCCTGAGCTACAGTCAGTTTTCTGATACCCTGCCCTCTCCAGCTGCCTTCTGCCTTTACTCACAAATATGAAGTAAGAAATCAGTGTTTTTTTAGTTTATTTATTTATTTACATGTAGAGACGAAGTCTCTCTTTGTTGCCCAGGCTGGTCTTGAGCTCCTGGCCTCAGAATATCCTCCCTCCTCAGCCTTCCAAAGTGCTGGGATTACAGGCCTGAGCCACTGCGCCCAGGCAATAGTTCTGTCTTGGTAGAGCCCAGCTCCTGTGAAAAGCAGCAGCGACTGCGCTAAACCGGCTGTTACAAAAGACAGCCTCAGTCTTAATAGAAATACAAGCTACTGCAATACTGTTATGTGCCGGGGAGACTGCTCATATAAACTCCAGCAACATCCCCGCATGCATTAGAAAACCTGGGGTGCTACAGGTCTGCAATGCTGCTGCCAATTAGAACATCGTAACGGGAAAGAGGGGTTTAAAAAATACGCCCAAATAGGGAAGAGTTAAACTGAGAAGCTTTCTGCCAAAGACCTCCTGTGTGTGTACGGGGAGTGGGCAGCAGCACAAAGCCAGCGACCCAGTTGGGAAAGGAAAGGAGAATGGGGGATAATTTTCTCACTAACCTTAAGAGCAGTGGGTAGGATTTAAGTGGGGACTATCTGTGAAACTGCAAAGCAAGCACATAAAATACAATTTGCTCCTATGTTGGCAAAGGGAGGGCCTTGCAGGTGGGCACAGGGATAATCTGTATCATGCCATGGAAGCCCGATGGAAACAGTTTTAGAAAAGCATATGATTGCCACAACCAATTTGAAGTTGAAAGTAAAATATGATTAGTCTGTGTCTGGGAGTTCCTGTCCCAGCTCTACCCCGGGAGCTAAGCAAAGAATACCCAGTTGCTTGCATCCTTACCAAAATCCTAGAGCCAGCCCTAGGGCAGGATATTGGTAGAAATAGGATTCAGGATAAAACTTCTGCTGCTCTACCTGGCTTGGAATTTCATTTTTACATTTTAGTAGCAGAATCCAGTGTCTCTCCCTTAAATAAAATGAAAGATTATCTGCCCAGACTTGGTCTACCCCGATACACTGAATACGCAGAATGATGTCACCTCCTCACTGTACCTCAATTTTCTGTTTTAAAATGGACATAATAATTGGGATGTTCTGATATTTGAGGGAGTTTATACATGCCTTCAGCTCAGAAGAATGCCCAGTACATTGCAACTGATCCAGCTATGTGAAAGCTGTAACTATTACCTATCCCATACCCTGACCTGTTGAGAAAATGGACAATTTCTTTGTGCCGCTCTGATGGTGGCCTTTATGGTATTTAGGTTGAGGAAAGGTAGTGATAAAAGTCTGCAAAGCTAAGAGGCTTCTCAGTTATTTTACTGAATAAAGAGGTAGTTTGTTAACAGTAGAATTATAGCTGGGACAATAGGGAAAGAGAAGAATGATTAGTGTGGCTGCCAGAGCAATTGGGAATTTGGAGAGAAACTGAGTTTAAAGGGAATTCTTAGGAAGTTCTGTGACAGCAATTGTAACTGCAATCGTGAGGACAATGTTATGTAACAAATACATCCAAACTCGTTTTAAAAACTAGAATAGGCAATTATTCTCATGCTCTGGGTCCTGCTGACTTAAACTGGGCTCTTTTGCGGAGCTATGTTTCAATCTGTGAGTCCAGCTGTGCTTGGCTGCCCTGCATGGGTTGGGCCAAGATCTCATCCATTTGTCTTCATTCTGGGGTTGATGTTGATAATAAATATCTTTATTTTCTCCAGAAGCTCTCTCCAAGGCCTTTACAGACATAAAAAGAAAAATGCACTGAACACACATATTTCAAGCCTGTTTGGGTCATATCTCTTAATATCTCATTGACCAAAGCAAGTCACATCATCAAACCCCACATCAGAAAGCAGAGAGGCACTTCTGGGTGCAGCAGGAGAAGTTGCAATGTCACATACAAAAGGGCACAAAAGTGGGAAGGCGTGCTCATCTTCAATACAGTGTCACTCTGCCCTCTCCTCTGTCACTGACAATTCCCCAGAAAAGGCAATTATTGTTCTTCAGACTTTTGGAATCAGATTTTGGTGTTGGCTGGTTGTTTGCTCACTTAATGTGAATGCTTGTGAGATCTTCCCCAACTTGATAGCAGGGTACGCATGAGAGTGTAAAAAAAAAATTATTTATTTGGATTTCCCCAGGATTTCTCTCTGATTTAATGGTATTCTGGAGCTCAGTATTTGAGAATTATCTTTTTTTCCTTGGCTTCTGTCTGTTTTTTGAATTCTATTCTTATAACAAATAAACCAAACAAAAACATTAAAGAAAAGTTCCTCTTCCATTGTTTAATAATTTAGACTGCACCTGTCTGCACATCCCACAGCCCAAGCTTCTAGAGAAGCCTTTATGCCATGATTCCAATGTCTTCTGTTCCTGTGTTCATCTACCAAATCTGGGAGTTGTGGCACCTCCAGTAATGATTATTAACAACATTGAAGCCTTCATTAATACCTCTGTGACTGTATCATAATTATGCTTGTTTTTTACCCCTTTTGTTTTAATGCCCCATAGGACATGCACTAGGCCAGGGGCTACCTCAAACCCTTGCCAGCAGCCTCTGCTGAGATGCATGAAGGTAAATCTGAACTATCTCCAAGAAAACAGAAAATGATAATTTTATGAACTTTTTATTTGGCACAAAATTTTGCATTGTTCATTAGTGAGAAATGTAACGAGTTGTCACATATTACAATTAGGATTAAAAAAATGAATAGGCAGGTACAATAAAGTACTGGTTCTCACAACTCCGAATTTCTCAAACCAACTACATTTCACCTTCTACATAACAGTGATGATAACAGAAATACTAATAAAATTTGGGGCCAGTAATATGCATTTCAATACTCTATTTTCAGAAATAAGGACAATTAATGATGCAAAATAAACATCATAAAAATCTACCACAATTTTAGGTTCGCCTCCTTAGAGAGACATGTGTAAACCCAAAAACTGGCAAGAGATAATTTCAGAATGAAGGACAATTTAACTATATGAAAAAAAGACATGGCTTTGTCCTGATATTTTTGCATTTTGTCACTCATTGATTATAACATCATCATAGACTGAAACCTACAAACCAATATCTTAAATATCTGTACCTGTAACCCATCCATTTCAAGAGCTAGTTGACTGGCATGGAATTCCAAATGCTATGGAGGTCATATTGAAATTTCCTTTGGTCACGGAGAGAAAATAGCTGTTTTTGACACAGAACTAGAGGGTTCCAGTTGAGAAACATCTATGCTTCTCAACTATTCTACTATCTACAGGAGTTTGCTTAGCAGTCATTCCCCATTTAGCACTCAGGCCACCACTTATCTAAATGAGTTGCCATGTGGAAAATGTGTATGTATTTGCAAACAGAGCATCCCACATGCATTATTCAGAAATCTTCTGGCTACAAGTGATAGAAAATCAACTCAAATTGCCTTAAGGGGAAAAGGGACTTTATTGACTCACATAACAAAAAAGTCAGCAACAGCCTGGCATCAAGAACATCAAATTCAGAAGCTCCAAGGATGTCATCGGGACCCATGCTTTTGATCTCAGAGCTCTGTTTTCATGTGTGGTGCCTCATTTCTTAGACAGTGACGCCGCACCTGCCAGAAAATTCAGTTTTACATGTTTTCTCCCAGCCACTGTAAAAGAAAGAAACTGTCCCTTTCTTGCAAGATCGTGCAAATGTATGTCCTATAATTGGAACTCATTGACCAGAAATGGTTTGGCATGGGTCTCATGGCGTCCCTGAATTTGCAGTGGGTTGGCCAAATCTGCTTTACCTGAGGAGCTGATGCTACTGTGACCTACAGCAAAAGAAGTGGGAACATGTGAAGGAGAGGTATTTTCCAAGAGAAAGGTAGGATTTATCTTTTTTTTTTTTTAATCAAAAGAATCAGTAGAGAATGCTGGGATGCTGGGCAGGCCAAAACACAGATTCCACCACACCAAGAAACCTCATTCCATAAACCACTCACTAAGGTTTATCTACAACAAAAGCCATCCCCTCTTCTGTGCTAGGAAGAAGCCATTAATAGTCCTCAAGTGTTTGCTCTTCCAGAGGACTCAATAACTCAGATCCCAGAGGGTAAGGGAGCTAGAGGACTCAACAATACAAATCCAATTAGCAATTTCTGTCTCTGGAATAAAAATGCTCTCTAGTGATGTTTTTAAAGGCCTTAGCCTTGTTAAGTGAAACTGCCTAATAATAAGCCTTGTAGTGTTTCAAAGAAATTATTTTGCAAAGTTAATTTACAAGAGATAAAAATAACATATGGTCTGTCTTCCCCAATGAAAGCATTAAATGTACTTTCTTAAAAAGTCCCCAGACAGAGATAGTGGCTGTTTCTCTTCATTGATGGCCATTACGTTATTTATCTAAGCTTAACAAGTTCTTAGAGAAACACTGAGCTTCTCATTAAAGTCATAAACTAAATTGTGGTATATAGAAGTAACAAATCCCAATACAGCCTATAAAAATAAAATCATTCTCAGACTATAAATTAGAAGTCAGACTCATTACTTATTTTTAAGAATTTACTAGAATTCTTACCATTATTGATCATTTTTACTTTTATTTTTTATTATTGATGGCTTTTACTTAAGGTTTAGTTAGAGGACTAAAAAGTGAAGGGCTATTATATGAAATAATACTACAATATTATTGATAATGGTTTTTATTTACTATTATGAAGAAGATACTATACATGAAGTATATTTTATGAGATGTAGATGGATAATTAAACATGATTAAAGTCATATATAGCTTATATTCTCTGTGAGTTTCCTTATAAGAATTCATAAAATATTATTGAAATATATGAACTAAGGATGCACGACATTTTAACCTTGACATGGTTTATTATAAACATGCAGTTATAATTGTATTTCTTGAGGAATACATGTATGTGTTTGTGCTTTAGTTTTCACAGCTTGAAAAATGGGAGTCAAATTATTTTTATATAAAATGCTGTTTAATTCATCAAAAGTTAATTCTCATGTGTAGTACATTCAAATTTTATTTTTAAGCTTAATTCAACTTTAATTTTTTTTGTTTTCCCATTAAAAAGTTTATAACATTTGTGATTGTATTAGATTTGTTTGGAATGTGATGGTTATATTATGTAAGTTGAACAACTTTAAGTATTCCAATTTCAAAATCATGACAAACTATTGCCTGAGGAAACTTGGAAGCTTATAAAGAGAAACAAGTTAGGACAGTCTTTTTGGTTTGTTTGTGTGTTTTACAGTTCTCACTGTAAAAATCAGAAGAGAAAAAGAGAGAAAGACTATTTCTAATAGTTTTTAAAATTAGTTTCTAGATGTTCTAAGAGAAAATTAAGAAACAAACTATGTGATTTTGGGATGGCCAGTTTTGACACTTTTGATCTTAGTAAATAGCAGGTAAAATGAATATGATATTTAAAACCAGAAACATAGTGTGCTTTCTGAATGAAAACAAAATGAGAAACAGAATGGAAATGGACTGGAAAATTGTTAAGCAACTTTTTTTTTTTTTCCAAGGGACTTACATAACTCTTAATCTTACCCATCGCCTTTACATTCAGTCAGGTCACTTCAAAAAGTCCTTACATAATGAGATTTTAAATGGAACTCCTGCTTTCTTGGGAGAGAAAGACTGAAGTCTAAAGCTGAGAATAAAAGATATCAAACTCCTTACACTTAGAAAGGCTGTCAGCCACTAAGGAGAGGTTTGCCCAAGGGTGATCCAAAACCAGTCTGCCACACATGAGACAGTAGCCACTCCAGATTATCTGAAGAAAAAATATTCTTGGGCATGTCAATAGGAAGAATGCCTTGAAGGCAGCAGTTGTTAACTTTGACTAGACAGTAGAATCATTCAAGATGCCCGGTCCACACCCTAAACATGACATCCCAATTCTGGGCATGGGGCACAGGCAAGCAAGGTAGGTCAGGTAATTTCTTTATTGTCAGTTTTTGCACAAAAAGGCAGAGGTAAATTTTGAATAATAGTTTTAGGTTTTATGGCTGGCTTTGGGGAAAAAGGGTGCTGGTTTCTTTTTTGTCTGTTTTTGAGACAGAGTCTCACTCTGTCACCCAAGCTGGAGTGCAGTGGCCTGATCTCTACTTATTGCAGCCTCCACCTCCTGGGTTCAAGCAATTCTTGAGCCTTAGCCTCCCAAGAAGCTGGGATTATAGGCGTGTGCCACAACACTGGGCTAATTTTTGTATTTTTAGTAGATATGGGATTTTACCATGTTGGCCAGACTGACCTCAAACTCCTGACCTCATGTGATCTGCCGGCCTTGGCCTCCCAAAGTGCTAGGATTACAGACATGAGCCACCAAGCCTGGTCAGGTTCTGGTTTCTATGATTCATCTTAGGGAAGATGGATTCTAGTTTCTATGGCTCATCTTGGAGAAGAATGGGACAGAGAGACAGGAGGACAGAAGAAGGTCAAAGAAAAACTATTGGTTCTGAGGTCTTCATTTTAGGTTAGTTGTATTCTGAGTCCCCACATATTTAAGCCATTACAATAATCATCACAATTTTTTTTAATTAAATACTTTTACATTTACATTTCTTTCTTGTGATCATTTTGGGATTTTAGGAAATTTTGGAGAAATGATATACGTGTATCTTCTGGGAAAGAAAAAGAGAGTTCACATAATATGTAAAAGTAAACAAGTTTCTGTCCGGGTGCTTAATTCACAAATTTTCCTTCAGTAACTTCATATGTTTTGTGCAGAATCAAAATCCTACTTTCATTAGCATAGCTTATTTTATAAATTAATTTATTTTTAACATTAATCACACATATATAAAATATTATACATATATTAATCAGAAGACTAGAGACATTATTTCATATGTTGTGGGGTTTTGTTGTTGTTGTTGTGTTTTGCTCTGAGACAGGGTCTTGCTGTCAACCACGCTGGAGTGCAGTGAAATGATCACAGCTTATGGCAGCCCTGACCTCCTGAGCACAAGCGAGCCTCCCACCTCAGCCTCCCAAGTAGTCCCTGTAGTGGGACTACAGGTATGCACCACCATACCCAGCTAATATTTTCATTTTTGGAGAGATAGGAGTCTCACTGTGTTTCCCAGACTGGTCTCAAACTCCTGGGCCCAAGTGACCTTCCTGCCTCAGTCTCCCAAAATGCTGGGTTTACAGGTGTGACACACCACACCCAGCCCTGTTTCATACTTTGAAAGTATAGATTCTCAGTGTTTCATATTGGTCCTTTTGATGCCAGAAAGGACTACAAACTCTGTCAAACAGAGTAAGTCCTCAACATACACTAAGGCATTATTGCTTTCATTTTCAGTCTCCTAAGATGGCATAGACACTATCAATACTTTATAAGAAATCCACACTGAAAGGGGCTTTTGACGTGAAAAACCTGAGACGGAATGACTGAATCCTTTTGCTTTTCTCTTCAATGGAATATTTGCTATTCATCTTCTACATGCAAAGCACTGTGAGAGGATATTAAATAGTTTATATCCAATAAGGGTGAAAGTCAAGAGAGTGACAAAATTTAGGCAGGAATAATAGATGATTTAACTGAGGAGCAGGCAACAATTTTCAGGAACACAGAGAAGAACTGATTGTATCAAACATGGTTTTTACAGAAATATATCTACAAGTCATATGTATCCTGTATTTTATACACATATATACACACATACATACAGTGTATATATACATATATACATACCCATACAAAGAGAGAGAGATGGGAGAGAGATTTTATTGAATTGGCTCATGTGATTATGACACTGGCAAGTCTGAAATCTATAGGGTAAGCCAGGAGGCTGAAAACTCAGGCAGGAGTTGATTCTGCAGTTTTCAGGCCAATTTTCTTTCTTGTCAGGAAACCTCTATTTTTGCCCTTATAACTTGAACTGATTGGATAAAGCCACCCACATTATTGAAGAAAATCTCCTTTACTTAAAGTCAACTGATAATGGATGTTAACTATATCTGTAAAATATCTTCACAGTAACACCTCAATTAGTGTTTAAATAACTAGGTAACTTAGCAAAGTTCTGACATGAAATTAATCATCACATGAAATGCCAAGTTGGATGTGTGGTTGAAATGAGTATTTGTTTAAAAAGTATGATATATTTGAACTATATGATTAGTTCGACAAAGACTGACAAATGCAGACAGAATGTGAGAGATGAGGCAAGACAGATTGTGCCTTGCTGGGCTAGGATTAGCCAGTGTAGAGAGAATGAACCAAGGCAGAAACCTAGAAACGAAGGTTAATTCAGCCTGGGAAGGACCTGAAAAGTTATTGTTTTTCCTAAAAGCAACCAGTAGTCCTGAGAGATTTTCAGCAAAAAGTAACATAATTAGAATCTGTCTTCTGAAAGTATAATTCCGATCTTATTATTTTATAGCACAGGTTGAACAACAGGCTAGACATTAGTAGGGGCTGGCATCAAAGGTTATATTTACATTAAAATTGAGAAATTATATGTAGCAGAATAACAACTAATGGTTTTTTAGTAGTATGTAGAGAAGAAGGAAAGCATGAGAAAACAAACAAAAAAATTCAGGAAGCGAACTGCAAGGTTTGACCCATTAGATAAGAAGGAAGGTAAAGATAAATATAAGAATTTAAAAAGGAACACAATGACCTAACTATGGGGCAAGTTAATAATAGGAATAAGTGTAAGGCACTTGGAGATCACATTAGTACATTCATTTCTGATAAGATTGGTACTGGAGAGTGTAGATTATACATGCAGATAGTAAGGGTTTTGAGTTTGAAATGCCAGATTTAGACAGCTTTTCCATCAGCAGTGATAGACTGGGTCACAAACCCTGCTGTTATTTCTCCTCCCCAGAATACCAAGCCTACCAACCAGTGGAGGGGCACACCCCTTACTTGGGATGGGGAAAATGAGTAATGGTGTAGGGTATGGAGGGAGGTCATGCTCAAGAAAACAGCAGGAGGAAGAAAGACAAGTTACGCTCCATCCGCTAAGCCTTGGGTACACCAGTTTCTGATCATTTGTGCTGTGTGTGTGTGTGTGTGTGTGTGTGTGTGTGTGTGTGTTCATGTATTAAAAGAAGTGAACAATATAAGGGTTAGGAAAGGAAAAAAAATAAAAGACCTAGAGGGAGGGGTAGAAAACAAGGCCTTCATACTTTTAATTAGCAAAAATATATAAACAACAAAGTATGTGTCATACTGCTTCATAATAAAAAAGCAATGTGCCAATGGATCTGATTCATGTTTCCATATTTTCTTATTTCTCCACCTATTCAGTACATATTTTTGAACATCTATAAGTACCAGGCTTGAGTGATACTGGGCCCTAAGACAATTATAATAATAATGCCTACAACAACACACCAATAATAATAATTACAGCTATGTAAGTATTCTATCTTCAAGGAATTTAGATAGACAAGCCATATAGCCACATACATAAAACTATCTTTGTCTCCCATAAACTTGGCAATTAGTGTTATAGTATCTGGTAATTAGGAACTTAAGGTAAGTTTCATGTTTATTGAATGAGTTGGACTCAGAAAGGTCAAAATTATGGGAAACTTTTACTTGTTTCTACTCCAGGGTCTTCAAATAAGCTCCAGTGAAACATTTTTCTTGTCTTTGCATTAATATTTCAGCAGATCAAATGAATCTTATTTGTGGAATTCCAAAGTTTCCCATTGTCAAAACTTCATTTTCATTTTTTCCATTTTTTTTTTTCTTGGCAGATTAGGCCTATTGGAAGCCAGCTTTGGGAAAGGAGGAAGAACACGATTTACTTCTGCAGTCTTCCTCACTCCACCAAACACCCTTTCTCCTCCCCTAGTAAGTGACATCTGCTTCCAGTCCCTCCAAACTTGGGCCTGGAGTGGCCTGGAGTGGCTGGTGGATTGAAGAAAAAAGGCCAAGTTTGACGGGAGCATATAATCGTAATTTTAATTGATGCTGTCCGATGCAACTAACACAGAGTCCAAGGAATGCGTCTCTCAGCAGGCTCCTAGGAGATACCCCACTAGGCATTTTGTCTCATTCTCTGGGCCAGGCAAGGCTTCATTTTGTTAGCATTTGCTTTAATGAGTTTCACTCACGTAGGCTCTCTATCTGTGGACATTCTTAGTAAATAAAATCTCTTGAAAACAGCTGATGGACAGCTCCATTTTAGAAGACTAGCACCTGGCTCTTAGGCAGTGGCAGTGCCTTTATCTTGCAGTTAGTGGTCATAGAGCTGCCTTCTGCTACACCTTTCCCTCCTCTCCCTCTCTAGGCCCCCTTTTCTGGTCCTCTCACCTTTAACATTTTTCAGGTGTGGTTTAAGTACTGAACTCTCTGAACTTCAAGCTCCTCAATATACCAGTCATCTTTCCTAAGCTTCCCAAAGCCTTTCATTTGGCTTGAGGGACATGGGGAGACAAAGACAAGAGCTGGCACGTGGCACCAATGGGCTCTGACCTGGCCGCATATGGGAATCCCCTGGGAGCCTCAAAAACTCCCAATGTCTGTGCCCCATGCCCAGAACTGGGATGTCATGTTTAGGGTGTGGACGGGGCATCTTGAATGATTCTACTGTCTAGTCAAAGTTACTACAGTTTTATTTGCAAGCTACTGCAGCTCTGAAGTCATTATATAAAAATTACCAGTTAAAATTAACTAATCTTCCTTTGACAATTTCAAGATGTTTCTGTTACATTCTTAGCTCCTCAGGGAGTTTTCATTCATGTTTACCTTTATGCCTGTAAAGTGCAATTACTTTCAGCACTAGACATGGAGAGAAAATCATCGAGTCTAGTGTATCTTTATTTTCTATGTGATGAAACTAACAAGTGTTCTCTGTAAGAAAAAATTAGTTTTGAGAATAGGTAAAATAGAGTGCTGAACGTCCTTTCAATGAAACGCTGAAGCACCCTATGGGATGTGGAACTGTCTGGTTAGGCTATTTAAAAAAACTGTAAAAATACAAATAAATTTACAGAAAATAGATAGTAATGCAAATATTTCTTGTCCATAGAAATGCAAATTATTTATGGTTGGTAGAATACTCTTGATTATTTCCCTGTGGAAAGACTTGATTTTCAAATTCATTTGAACACTGCTTTACTGCATATAAATGTATGCATCTTTGCTTTCTCTTTTATATCAGTTGTAACATCTTACTGGTTCCCTCTTCTATATTAAGATAAATCAAATCTTTAACACATAAACTTTTTAGCTTCACATTAAAGTCACAATGTTACCTTTTTGTTAAAACTGCCCCTTTTATATCTTTAAGATACATTTTTCTATATAGTATGAAAGTAAGTATGTATTGCTAATAATATATATATGCTGATACACTGCTATTTTTAAAAGATTTTTCACATGTTTCACTGTTCCTTAAAAATGCTTATAAAATTAGTATTTTATAGTGTTACTTTATTATTAATCACAGCACACTGAAAATCCAGTTTATTTTATCCAGTTTCCAATATGCATTTAAGTGTGTGTTGTAATTAAAATAATTTCAATTTCTCAGTAAGATAATTCCTATTCAGATGTTACAATTAGGTTCTTCTATTCCAAAGCATATTTTTGTCTAAAAATCCTTTTTTTTTCAGCAAAGCATTTGTATTGGTCCATTCTCATGCTGCTAATAAAGACATACCCGAGGCTGGGTAATTTATAAAGGAAAAAGGTTTAATTGACTCACAGTTCAGCACAGTTGGGGAGTCCTCAGGAAATTTACAATCATGGCAGAAGGCGAAGGGGAAGCAAGGCACCTTCTTCACAAGGTGCCAGGAAGGAGAAGTGCAAGCAGAGGAAATGGCCGAGGACTACAAAACCATCAGCTCTCTGAGACTCACTCATTATCACAAGAACAGCATGGGGTAAACTTCCCCCATGATTCAATTACCTCCACTTGGTCCCACTCTTGACACATGGTGATTATGGAGATTATAATTCAAGTTGAGTTTTGGGCAGGAACACAGAATGATATCATTTGAAAACATTTTTGGTATAAATTATACCATCATATTGTCATATATCTAAATTCAGATGGGAAATGCATAATTACTCAAATTAAAATTGTATAAATTTAATTCTTGTTATTTCCTTATTATCAATATCTCTAATGTATATTCTATATACTTTTCAGTTTTACAAAGTCATATTGACAGAGACACATCTAAATTAGATGCTTGAAAAGTAAAATTTTCAACTTGTTGCCTACAAGTAATGCAAATTTCACTTGATTGCTCCTTTTAAATGTCAAATTTGACTAAAATACCATTAAACCAATATGATAACTGATATAAATACAGATGGACTGATAATAACTGCAATGTCTCAAAGTATTTACAAATTTTAAAAAATGCTGTTGTCTAGTCAAAGCTCATTTAATTTCAAATGTAGGGATGATTTTATTTTAAGTGGCTTTCATTTACAAAATAACAATGTTTTACACAACTGAGCCATTTTCCTCATTCAGTTCTCTCTTGTTATTGCTTATGCAGAAATATTTGATCAAATTTACTTATTTTATTGTATTATAAAATATTATGTACCAAAACTCAAAGATTCAAATAGATAATTTAGTTGTAACCCTATTTTTTTTTCCTTTACTCTTTAGGAAATTTAAACATGTTTTTATCGGACACAAAACCCAACATGTTAACGTTTCAATTCCACTTATGAAATGCCATTATTTCATAAGCTGCCTATTCACCCTCCACTTCTTTCATGCAAATTCTTCTTCCTTTCTCTCAAAAACGTTATTTCCTTTGCACAGTCTGTCATTTTCGCAGGCCAACCCCTAGCCACGTGCAGTATTTATTCTGACCATTAGATGTCACCAATCTCTTTGTAAGAGCAGCTGTAGATAGACTTGATTCCCGGAGAAACGGACTGATAAATACATAATTTATTAAATCTAAAAGTCAACAATATCTGTGAAGAATCATTTAGATGCATTAAAAAATTAATTAATATTGTAGTTACTATTTAAAGATCATGATAAGCCTGCCGCATGAGGATTCAGCATTGACAGACCTTCTCATTGTCAGAGTTTGACAGAGTTCTAATGTCAGTGATGCTAAATGACCTCCCTTCAAATATTTAAGAAAAGAAAAAATTTCTATAGCTACCACTCTCTTGATGTTTCCAGTGATAATATTAAGAAAAATATCTTCATGCCTATTTTGTAAGAAATAAATGAGAAAATAATGAATATAAATTACTCATTTTACTTTGTTTCTTATTTCATTTTTAGTAATATTAGGACATATATTATTTTAAACCTATAATTATGGATAGAGATAAAAGACATTCATTCATTCACCCATTCAGTCTCTAATTTATTCGTTGCTACAACAAATATTTATAGAGACCAACAATGCCCAGGTACTGTTTCAGAAAATTGGGATACATCCATGAATAAAGCAAAGCAGACAGATACCCCAACCTTGATGAGACATCATGTGAGCAGACATGTAATGTAAAACACTTTACCAATTACAATAAATGGAAGGACTTGGACAGAAAAAAGTGGCTTGCCTATAAAGTCAGATATCTTGGCTCTATCAGAAGCCTCAGATGAATGTAAGTTACTTTGAATGACTCTGGAACATCATTCTCAGCAAACTAACACAAGAATAGAAAACCAAACAATGCATGCTCTCACTGATAAGTGGGAGTTGAACAATGAGAATCCATGGACAAAGGGAGAGGGAACATCACACACCGGGGCCTGTCAGGGTGTGGGGGCCAGGGGAGGGAAAGCATTAGGATAAATACCTAATGTATATGATGGGTTGATGGGTGCAGCAAACCACCATGGCACATGTATACCTATGTAACCTGCACATTCTGCACATGTACCCCAGAACTTAAAGTATGATAATAATAATAATAATAATCTTCAAAGCCAATATAGCCATTTTGTGACTTGGCTTAAGAAACTATTCAGAGAAACAACGTAACATCTTAGGATGCTGTTGTCACAAAATTGAGGTTGTTCACTGCATTCACTCCCACAATTTTATTTCATTTTTCTGAACCTTCAACAACCCAAAAACATTTAGGAAAGTAACTGAGTGAAACAGGAATAGTAGTGAGGCAAAGAAAGAAGAATCATGAATGTTTAGATAGTCAAATCTGCTTCAGTAAAAGAAAACCTCCTCTGCAGCAGATGCTTGGAAACCACAGATTTTTTCTTAATTCTACATCTGCTGCTCACATTTTAGGAAGCAGTTACATACAGAAAAACCTTTTCCTCTAAAGCATTAAAATTGTCATCTCTCTTCTGTCTCTGTCCTTGAGGGACATAAGATTGATCAATGCATTTGTTGAGGACTTTGTTCTTAGGAAATGTGAGGATAAATAAAAGAAATAAAAAAGACACAAGTCATGATGTTGCCCCACATATTAGAAGCACAGAATTATATGGCTATGAGTGGCATGATCCTAAATTTTTTTAAGCCTTAAAATCATAAATGAGGTCAATGTATTTATGCTTAGCCTTATCTATATACTTGTCATAGTGTCAAGATATGTTTAGCAAGGATGGTCCTGCATCTTCTCCATCTGGTCCTGAAACTAATCTGTTTAGCTTATTCCTACAAGGAAGTAGATTTGTTCTTTTTTTGAATTTGACTTAGTTCCTTTTAAAACAATTTTTTTCTGTCTTCCTTTATTTGCTACTGATGGTTGCTCTATTCTTTCTAACCCAAACTATATAGGGCTTGAGTCAAATGTTAGAGACCATTACCATCCCATCTGTATAACTCCTTTTTGAATTCATGAAAGCAACTTCTGTGAGTCACAGCAACGTTTACTGGAGTCAGTCCAATGATCAGATGAAAAAGAAAGACAATCCTTTCTGTTCTCATGCCTTTTTCTCTCTTAGATATGATGGGGAAGAATCTGACACTACAAATTTCCTTCCATGCAGTATGAACTGAAGTTCTGTCTATTTGTGCATTCTACTGACTTGAAAATGAACAAAGTCTATCTCAGAAACCTTGGGGCCATCAGGAGAGACATGGAAGACTGTTCAAAACGTTTTTCTGTGTTAAACTGCTGGCCTTCCCCTCCTTTGTCATCGGCTAATTTTAACATGTCCATTTCTTTGCATTGCCTCAAACTGGCTAACTCACTGTCAAAGCTTCAAATTGTTTCTTAACATAAAAATCCACACATCTTTTCATACAATGAATACCTGCTTGACTGGTTATAGTAACTTCTTTTACCATGGGGGTGTCCAACATTGACAGCTTTGTCAAATAAGGTAGAAACGTCTCTGTGATTTCCACTCCCTGAGTAACCACTGATTTACTACATTTGGTGTCATTTGCCCATAGTTCTGAAATAGCTTACACAAATACTAGTGTAAATATAATCCTCAAACTGAAAACTCTTTAGAAGAATGTATTTGTTTATTTCTCTCTTTATACACAGGAACATATTTATAAAAGATTATCATAGAATTTCAGAGTACAGGATCATATAAAAAAGCATCTAAGAACCAGTGAATAAGTGTTTGCTACAAGAGGACTGTTAGGAAAAAATGAGAAATCTCATTTAGAATAAATTCAGATGAGCCTTGCTTCTTAATGGCTAAAATTATTTCCTTTACAAAAACGCTGAATTATGGGTCATCAAACCTACATCTGCTTACCAAAAAAGATTATTGAACATGCAATAAATATGCTGGCCTCTGAACTTTCTCATAATATGTAGTCAAGAATTCTTGATTATACACAAGGTCAATTCTCTCTTGCAAGAAAGTGCTCAGGTAAAGGTAGATGATACGAACATAATTCAAATTGAATAATATCATCTACAAGGCTCATACAGACATACATATGTAGACAGAAATATGGTTTACTAGAAAAAATAAATCTTTCTTTGCATGCAGAACAGTTACCTGCAATTCACCCTATTCCCTTATTTTTCTTTTTTAAAGATCCACTTATGGGCTTCCCGAGAGACTAAGATATAGAAAAGATTGCTTGGATTTCTCTATCAGGATAATATTACCTTTCTCTCTGCCAATACAAGGTTGATAATTATCTCTCCAATATCTTGTCTACATCATACTCCTCTTTTTAAGTTGAATCAGGCTAGTAATAAATACAAGAATAAAAAGAAAGATGTGTGTATGTGTATCTATATCTATATCTATATCTATATCTATATCTATATCTATATATGGAGAGAAGGAGAGAGGAGCACGCACCCACGTACACACTCTCCAATAGGTCAATTTAAACACATATTTAAGCAAAGACTGTGTTTTATAATTTCAACATTGCCACTTTAATATTTTTCTTGTTGTTTTAATGCAATAAAGTTTTAACTTCCTATCTATACTATAATGGTGGTGAATAATAATACAGCTAAGTTACGTTATGTGAATTAAGAAATTTTGAGATTAGAAAGGACATTCCAAGTAATCAAATTCAAATTTCTATTCAATGCAAAAATCTTTTAAAAAAGATTTTGAGAAGCAATCTCCAACATTTGTATAAACACATGAACAAGTTACCCTGTCTCTCGTGTGTGGGTGTGTGTGTATACAATTACAAATATATAATTAACTTTTATTGAACCCTTGTAAATGTTAGTTTTTAATTACACTGACCTGAGATCTTTCCCATATTTACAACTCCATCCCTACCACATCTCAGCTAGTTTTCTCTATGTTTTCCTAGTATACCTTGCTTTGTTTCTCAAAGCAAAACTAAATAGTATAATGTTCCTTCCAACCCTTCAAATACCTCAGGGTATCTGTTATGTTTCTTTATGCTCCCCATGTCTTCTATGAGCTGGATTGTTTCTGATTCCCGCAGTGATTCCAGAGAAAATACAGCAGTCTTTCTAGCATATCCATGCCTATAAATCTTCAATTAAAACTTGATAATTCTATTATTTTTAATAAGTTTTGGGTGTGCTTCAAAGAGGGATAGGTAACTCATATGGATCTTGGTATAATTTTTAACCATTACAATGTTTTTGTTTTCTATGAAAGCATTTCTCACAGTCTTGGGTTGGACTTTAGATCCGTTTTTTAAAATCGCCATTGACAGGAATAAATCAAAATTTCTCTTTTGCAAATTGAAGACATAGGGTAAATTATTGGAACATGCAGATATACTACTAGCACTTATGTTATATTGGATGCATACTGTCTTCATAGTGGAGAAAATTAAGAGCTGTGGATTGTCAGAGAAGAATTACTAAACTGTCTCCTTCCTCTAGGTACTAATTTAGTTTTTCCACTTGAAGTCATCAGTGCTCAAACTGTAACAACACCACTAATGCAATTGCTGACTCAAACTTGGAAATAGAAAAACTAAAAGTAGTTATAATTATAGCAACCATGCACTTTTTTCCCTGTTGAATTGTGAGAGAAACAGCAAGGTAGTAAGAATGAATAAAGGTGAAGATGATGTGTTTAAATTACTAGCTGTGGCCGGGCACGGTGGTTCACGCCTGTAATCCCAGCACTTTCGAAGGCCGAGGCCGAGGTCAGGAGTTTGAGACCAGCTTGGCCAACACGGCAAAACCCTGTCTCTACTAAAAATACAAAAATTAGCTGGGAGTGGTGGCGGGAACCTGTAATCCCAGCTACTTGGGAGGCTGAGGCAGGAGAATCGCCTCCACTCAGGAGGCGGAGGTTGCAGTGAACTGAGATTGTGCCATTGTACTCCAGCCTGGGCAACAAGAGCCAAACTGCATCTCAATAAATAAATACATGAATACATAAATAAATAAATAAATAAATAAATTACTAGCTTTGCACTTATCTTCAGTCCTGTCTAAGTTCTAGTAAGTCTCAAAACTTACACTGGTGAAATGATGTTGACTTGTCCCACTGTTGTTGTTAAGGTTATTTCAGAAATCTGAAAGACAGCTTATTTTAATGTCTTACTACTGTTGGACAATGTAAGAATCTACTGACTTTCTCTTTTGTGGCTTACGGTTGAGGTGATGTGAAAATTTTGCTTAGAACACTTACTATCTACAATTATTCAAATGTGGCCACTTTTTATGTAGAATTTACTGAGGCTATCCTCAGAATTTTCCATTGATACTAGAAATAACTATATTATTTGAGATACTCTATTAGACCAATGATATGGTCATCTGTATCCAACATATAGCATATGCCAGTATATATCTTCCTGGAGAATGCAACATATTTAATTTGATCCAGAATTCAGATATCATTTTTTTCTGCATTTCAAAACTGAAAACAAAGCACAAACAACAAAACAAAGAGGAAAAGTTAAAACAAAAAGAAAAAAATTCCCAGCTACAGCGTTACTACAGCAGCAAAGATGGGAAGATCAAATTCTGAATATTCCTGAGGCTAGATCCACATTGCTTTATTCTATGTGGAATCTTCCTACAAATCACAATCCATTTTTACAGGCTTTTCCCTTGTGAAAAGAAGACAGTTTGAAAAACATCATGAATATATGCAACAGTGGCTCTAAAGGAAACTGCTTTTCAAGTCCTCCCTCAAACACTGCATTTCTGAAATATTTGACTAAGTGGACCCTTCATCATTTAAGTCAATGAATAGAAAATGAGATAAACCTCTAATTATAACTGACACAAACATATCCACGTGATGTGACTTGTGTCTATCCTATTGACTCTTGTATTCAGGCTCTGAATACCTTTTCATCAAAATCCCTAGAATGTTTCTTTGATAATGTGTTACCTATGTTTGAAATTAAAAGATGTTACATTTTCATAGAAGCCACTATTAAAATATATTATGTTAATGGAAGTAACACTATCAGTTATAAGAAGTATTTTCACTTATTTATTCATTGTAACTAATTTGGTTATTTTTCATTTTGCTCTTTCTGTGCATATATTTACAGTCTTTAGGCTCAAGTTTAGACATAAGAACTGTATCCATAATTTATGTTAGATATATGCAATAATTGATGCATTTTATATTACGGGACATTGTTCCTTAATAGAATGTTTAATTAATAAGAGTGAGTATATGCACATACCATGCCTCATAACAGTGGGCAAAACAAGCTAGGAGCTGGGCACAGGACAATTGAAAGCATGCTGTTATATCCTACTGACTTTCTATTTAATTTTCTTGGATATGAATTATGACTCCAATAACATGCTTTTGATAAAAAAAAAAGAAATGATTTCTGGCATCTTGTGGGGGAGGATCTGAAGAAGTTTTAAATTATATTTTGTCATGAAAATACACATCTTGTCATCTTTCTTTAGATGTTAGAATCTTTCATCTCACTTGAAAGTTCAGATTGATCTGTAACCTTTTTTGAAAAAAAAAATCACGTCAGACACTTTGATGTGTTGTGCATATTTTTGCTCAGGAAGCTATAGGTTTTCGGGCAGACCATAACTGAGAAATGCAGTTGAATTTTATAAACTATCCACTGACCTTGGGATAGTGTTGCAGTGCCCTGGGAATCAGACTGTCCTAGTTTGGGCTGCCCTGAGCAATTCAATGACATAATTATTGACTTGGCTTAAATTCTGCAGATGAGGTTTACACAAACAAGATGACCTTCCCCATTTCCTAGACATTGGTGGACATTTTCTGGAGGTAACTTGACTTGGCTAGAACCAGTGAATATCTTAATTTAGTTCCTGTCTCTCTTTGTCTTTCCTCTATATATCTATCTATCTCTACCTCTCTCTTGGTTTTACTTATATAAAAATATCTTTAGGGCAACACCACCAGTTTCACTGGTACCTATGAATGTGCCAGCCTTATGGCTTGAGAAAGAGTGGAATAAACTCTTGAGAACAGGACTATAAACATAAAGCACTTTATTAATTCCCCAAATTAAGTACCCTCCATAAAAGCAAGATTTAATATCTCTTGTTCTATGGAGGAGGAAGGAGGAAAGAAAAAGACTTGCTCGAATGATGTCTTTGAAGAAGAAAAAATAGAGATTAATATATGAGTGAAGGGGTTGACTTTCAGCTGTAGGAGCGGGAGTGAAGGCCGAGTGCATGCAGGTAGAACTGTGTACAACAATAGAGGTGATGGTAGAATGTTCTCTCCTGGTTGCTGTTGTTTTCACTATAAAAAATGAAGTAGGATATTAGTTGAGAGAAAACATGGAGGAGGAGTTGGTGAAGGTTTGAGGAAACAGCATATGAGAAAAGGAACGTTTTTAAGATTTTCTAGGCCAGCAGTTGACTAAATGAATGAGGGAAATTTCTTGGGATAACCAAGCAGCATATGGGACCACTTGGAGTTTGTGGTCATAGCAAACAAGTCAGCATGGCTGTGTATTTCCGTCAGCCACAGTACACTGTCGTAATGGCAGATGTGGAGTAAGTAGAGAGGCAGAGTTAGCCAGGGCTGGTGTATTATCAAGTAATTAAGGAGCAAAATTTTAAATTATATGCAAGAGAGTGAAATAACAATTAACCATGACATTTAAGATGGGTAAGGAGGAATAGAAGATGGGTAAGATGGAAGAGATTAAAAGTGAAAAATATTATAATAAATCAGGCCGGGCACGGTGGCTCACGCCTGTAATCCTAACACTTTGGGAGGCCCAGGTCGGCAGATCGCTTGAGCTTGAGTTTGAGAACAGCCTGGGCAACATGGTAAAACCCTGTCTCTACTAAAAATAAAAAAAAAAATTAGCTGAGTATGATGATGGCGTGTGACTGTAGTCCCAGCTACTCAGGAAGCTGAGGCACAAGAATCACTTGAACCCGGGAGGCGGAAGTTGCAGTGACCCAAGATTGTGCCACTGCACTCCAGCCTGGGTGACAGAGGAAGACTCTGCTCAAAAAAACAAGAAAGAAAGAAAAGTATTATAATAAATTCATAATAGTGTTTAGTGTGTGGGGGAAGGAGTAAATTATTAAATTATTAGAATCTGATTACTAGAGGGAAAGAACTGGAAAGACTGTGGTCAGGGATTCAGATGCTTGCAATTGAGATTTCAGAGTCTGGTTATTGGTAGTAAGAATGATGGTGAAAACAGGCCTGGTGCGGTGGCTCACGTCTGTAATCCCAGCACTTTGGGAGGCCGAGGCAAGCGGATCGTGAGGTCAGGTGATCGAGACCATCCTGGCTAACACGGTGAAACCCCGTCTCTACTAAAAATACAAAAAAAAATTAGCTGGGCTTGGTAGCTGGCGCCTGCAGTCCCAGCTACTCAGGAGGCTGAGGCAGGAGAATGGCGTGAACCCGGGAGGCGGAGCTTGCAATGAGCCCAGATCTCGCCACTGTGCTCCAGCCTGGGAGACAGAGCGAGACTCTTCCTAAAAAAAAAATAAAAGAATGATGGTGAAAACATTTGACTATGGTAATAAGAACAATGATGAAAACATTTGACTATGACTATGATCATCTGCCATCTTTATAGATATTGAAACCACCAAGAATCACAACATAGGTTGTTCTGGAGAGAGACCTAGAGCGGGCTTCAAGGTAAAGTTTCCAGTATTTTGAAAGGCTTTAGTGAGGACAAAAGAAAAATGATCCAGAATAGACAATAAGGAAAATGAAACACACTCATTCTCACCTTCAGTGTTCCTAGCATGGAGTTAGTGGGAGAAAAAATAGCCACTTTACATTTGGAGGAAAGCAATGTTGTCATGCAAGACTCCAGTGCTGGTTAGAGCAAGAAGATGAATGAGAGAGCAGACATTGAGAACATTCAACATTCAAGATTTTGCTTATGATGTATTGCATGTTCCAAAGCACACTCTAGACAATGTCAGGAGTTGGAAAAGGATGAGCGATGGAAACAGAAAATATGCAGTGATGTATGAGGATTAGAGTTTATCAGCCATTTGTGTCACTGTTTTTTTAAGTATGCTCGTGTCTTCTAAAAATTCTATCAAGAGTTTTTTTTTAATTTTGTATTTTTTGTATACTAGTTATTAATTGAGCTTTGCATATTTACTCTTGGCATACATTATTTCCTTGCCAATGAACTGAGTAATGCTATCAGATATTTTACCTTTTTAATGTAATTTTACAAGTCTTTTGGCTAATCCCCAAAATGGAAAAATCTACATTCCACTTTGTGTTTTTGGTGATTTGTAACATTTGTAGTATAAATTACTCTTTCAATTTAACATTCTTTCCTTGAAAGAAGAGCACATATTCTTGGGTCTTTGATCATTCTTGATTTTCCTTCTTCATTCTTTGCTCTTCCATAAATGACCATCATACAAGACCACCCAGAATTCACCCTTCCTGCACAGATTTTTGGCATGGAAGAGAGAAAAAGGAGATTTATGGTAATGAGAATACTATTAGGAAATCAAGGGGAAGTGGGAGGCCAAATATATATTCAAAATTGGGCTGTAGGAATGTACTCTATATCAGCGGTCCCCAACCTTTTTGGCACCAGGGACCAGTTTCATGGAAGACAATTCTTCCATGGATGGTGGGTGGAGGGGGATGGTTCCAGGAAGATTCAAGCACATTACATTTACTGTGCTCTTTATTTCTATTATTATTACATTTTAATATATAATGAAATAATTATACAACTCACTGTATAGAATCAGTGGAATCCTAGAGCTTGTTTTCCTGCAACTAGATGGTCCCTTCTGGGGTGATGGGAGACAGTGACAGATCATCAGGCATTAGATTTTCATAAGGAGTGTACAGCCTAGATCCCTGGCATGCTCAGTCCACAATAGGGTTCATGCTTCTATGAGAATCTAATGCTACCACTGATCTGACAGGAGGCAGAGCTCAGGTGGTAATGCAAGTTACCAGGGTCTTGCTCTGTCACCCTGGTTGGAATCAGTGGTATGATCTCCGCTCACTGCAGCCTCAACCTCCCCAACCTCAGGTGATCCTCTCACCTCAGCCTCCCGAGTAGCTGGGACTACAGGTGTGTGCCACCACACCTGGCTACTTTTTGTATTTTTTTGTAGAGGCGGGGTTCACCATGTTGCCCAGGCTGGTCTTGAACTCCTGGACTCAAGTGATTCTCCTGCCTCAGCCCATCCAAAGTGCTGGGATTACAGGCATGAGCCACAGTGTCCAGCAATAAGATATTTTGAAAGACAAGAAAACTGAACAATTTCCTACAGATATATGTCCTCCTGGGCAAAGATGACAGATAATACTGCTCTCATATATCCTAGATAATCCCACAGCCCAAAATGCCCTCTGGAAATTCTACCATGGTTCACTCATTTTGAGTATCAGATGGTTTTCTGAAGGGCAGCACAACTCCATTTACTGTTATTTTGGTGTTAGTTACTATGTAATCAGAAATTTTGCTTTACCAGTTAGTTAGTAACATAGTAAATATGGATAATCTTGATTTGGTAGAGACAGTGTCTCAAATCACAGATTTAATGAGTGAAGGATGGACAAAGAGGGCTGGCTTCAGTGAGCTGTGAAAGTGATTAGTGCTTATGTTTGGAGCAAGAAAGAGGGTCTTGAAAAAGATTGATTGGTAATTCTGAGAGGAAATGATGTTGCCATGTTTAACTGCTTGACACATGCCAGATTGCAGCACCACTGTTTGCTAGTCATGATTGTGGAGGAAACTTTTCTTATTATTATTAAATCAAAGTTTAAAATATAGAGAGTGATTTTACATTATGTGGAAGTTTTTACACAAAGTGTAATCTTAGTAATACAATATCCATATTTGCCAGGGACAATCTTGATTTACAGTCATTTCCCATCATGCCTTTTGGTTAATTCTTGTCCTAGGTCACATTATCCTAGCTTGCAAGATACATAATAGGGTTGTCCTGATTATAACCTGTTTCTTGAAAATTTAGCGCACTGTCTGACTCTTTGTAGACACTCAACAAATGTTGGTGATTTTTATTAGAATATTAACTCCCATCCCTACTATATTCCTTCTTGCATGATGCTGGAACATTTTATTACTTCTCCAAGCCTCAGTTTATTCATCTGTAGAATAAGAATGTAGCACAGTATAAGTACATAAAAAAGTTGTAACATACAATTGTTGAGGTTAATGAAATAATTCATAGATCAACAACTTCGTATAATAAGAACATATAAAGTTATTGATAATTGATGTGTAAGTAGTTAACATTACCATCATTTTTATTACAAAAATACCTCAAATGAGCTGTATTTAGTATTCTAGACCCAAATTAGTGGATTATTGAATCACATCCCATAACCTAAAAGGGATTTTGGAAGGATTTAGGAAGATCATGGGGAGCTGGGGAAAACAGGTATGTGCCAAAATGTCTCGAGCTTTATGTGTATAAAGTGCTCTCAGTGTTAATGTTAATACATAGGCAGATTGTTTTATGACATAACTTTTAGCTGGATCATTCACAAGTCCAAGTGGTCCATTAAATTCACAGAGCCTCTATCTTTATTGCTAGAACAGGATATCTTATTAGTATTCCAGAGCATATGATACAACAACTTACAGGATTCAAATGCCTGTGAAATTTGAGAACACTGAAAGTTGTGATAGAGGAAAAAAAAGCTAAGAAGAGAATAGAAAAAAAAATAGAACATTTCCTCACACTGGTTCCCAGCTGGGATTACAGCTGCTTGATTCATACCATCTGGGGGTGTCTAATTAGAAACTACCTATAATAGGCTTTTAAAGAAGTAATTTGAGAATAAACTTAACATCAGCTGCAGTTCAGATCCCAGAGGGCCTGGAGTTAAGGTAGCATGAACTAATGGATCAATGAACAAAAGAAATATTCACTAATAGCGGTGCTTGAACAAAGTTACTCCTGAAAAAAGCAAAATGTCACATGTTTTTTCAATGCATAATAAATCTGCCCAAGAATAACTGACTTTCAGGTTAACACATAAAAATGAGAAGCTATGCATATTATAGTGAGCACAGTCTGACTCCCACATTATGGTTTAAGTTGTTTTCCAATCTTAAATCCAATTTTTAAAATATCATAATGCACTAATTCCAAAATAGACTGCACTTTAGTCTACCAATTTGGCCAATTATGGTTGGATTTTCCTTCCTAAACCTTTTCTTGATTTTGTGTACTAAGACTGGCCTTAAGAAGAGACAAATTGATTGCTCTTTTCCTGTTTAACCTCATTAGTAAAGATTTCATTGACCAACAAGATTGATTCAGACATAAAGGTGTCATGGAGATTTTTAGAAATAAAAATCATGCTGTTGATAGCATAAGTGGTCAAGACTTGAAAGGTGGACCCTGGGGGTGATGACAAACACAGGTTTTTTAATCTTTCAATTTTATAATCACGGCATTTTAACAACTTTTACTGATGTCTGTTATCTGTCACCAATGTTAAGTTTTACAAAACAACATTAGGATACTCTACACAAATGAAACAAACATGAATTGTTTTACTTTTAATCATAAGATAGTGATTTTATTTTAAAGTGTTGGAATTAACTCTACCTCATATGCTGGTCAAATATAATATGCACCAGTAAAACTATTTAGCAAATGGGAACACGCTATGGCCTAATAAAAGAGACTACAGTCATACTTTTTAAAAAATTAATTAGTAGCAAACTTCAATGTTTCATTGATTCTATTTTGTCCTCTAAAAATGAAATAAGAATTAATTTTCTGGATATTGGAACATCCTTTGATGTGCAGTTAAAAACACAAACATAAATCATTGTGATTAAAATAAAAGTCATTCAATAAAAAATTAATCACTACATTCTTTTGGATAAAAAATACTCAGCTCTCTGCAGAGGAACTCTGACACAGCAAAGTTTGAAACATCCAGAATTTTGTGGTTTCTATTAATTTGTTTTCACTGTCTTGTCTGTTATCAAATTATAATTGCACATCATTCAAAAAATAAAAATAAAAATAAAAGAGACTAGCAAGGCCGGGTGCGCTGGCGCACGCCTGTAATCCCAGTACTTTCGGAGGCCAAGGCAGGTGGACCATGAGGTTAAGAGATCGAGACCATCCTGGCCAACATGACAAAACCCCATCTGTACTAAAAATACAAAAATTAGCTGGGTGTCATGGCACATGCATGTAGTCCCATCCTGGTGACAGAGCAAGACTCCATCTCAAAAAAAAAAGATAGTAGCAAATGTTGCAATACTAGATAAAATCATGTACAATTTTTAAAACATGTACATTGCCATCATGTCATAGTTTTTGCTGTTTCTTTTCTAATTCCAAAGTAAAATATCCACGTACAAAACTCTCACTTTCTTTATCATTGTATCTAGTATCTCAGGAATTGACAGAGCTATTTTCAATTGTAGAGAAAAATATGAAATTGTATATCCAACATTAGCAAGCTATCATCGATATTCATTAAGTACATTATCTCATACATAACAAGTGGAAAATGTTCTCTTGACACACACGAGAGTTTAATATTTAGATCACAATCACTAAGAATATTTAAATCTGAAGCAGATAAAGTTTCATGGTTTTAATTCCCAATTTATAATTATTTAATTTAATGTCATTATATTTGTGCTATTATTAATTTTATTATGTTGAACATCAGTTATCTCTTTTTTATACGTTGAAATTAAATATGAGACTAATAGGCTGTATATCCTAATGAGACTTGGGTATAACTAAAGTGAAAATGCCATTGGGCCTCAAATACAGTGTTCTAAGAGGGAACAGGGCAGAGCATCCATGATATTTTTTAGTATTCCAAAATGCACCTCCAGTAAATCAGGTTTATAATAAAACAGCACTTCTAAATAATTAAGGAAATATTAACTTGGGCATATCAAGATTCATTGCAAAGTGGGAGGAAGGTTTATTTAAAAACAACTTTTGATGGAATATCATCCATATATTCTACAGCATATAATACTCCTGGGGGGATCCTCTTTTGACTCAAGATTTATATTAACAAAACAAGTAGCAGATTAGCACAGGTGGAAAGAGAAAATTTGTCAACTGAGAAATGGGAGGTTGCTCTAGATGTAAATTAAGTGGTAGAAAGTACTGACATAAGAATGGGAGATGGTAATGGATCTGAACATAGATATCTAGGGGAGAAATTTATATATGGCAACTGTGGAAAAGAGGAGGTGGAGGAGAAGCGGTAAGGCAGGGAGAATTCATTACACATTTGTTCACTGAACTCAAACGTGGCAGTGTACTCCCCTGTGAAACTTTTGTAATCAGATAGAAGATAAAACTAACAGAAAGCACGAAGCAGTCACTAAATCTTTTTACTATCTATGGATTCTGGCCACAGCCATAAGATTTATTTGACAAAAGGATTGCTTGAAAACAGCAAATTGTGTCATTGGGTATTTTTCTTTGGAGAACATGACACTTCAACTTTCTCAAATTCAATTTTTACAGACTTACAGCTCCATATTGAGTTACACACACCCACACACACACACTCACACACACACACACATTTAAGTGGTTTGGGTCTGTGTCCCCGCCCAAATCTGATGTGGAATTGTGATCCCCAGTGTTGGAGGTATGGCCTGGTGAGACGTGATTGGATCATAGGGGCAGAGTTTTCATGAATAGTTCAGCACCATCCCCCTTTGGTAATGTATCCTGAGTGAGTTCTCACAAGATCTAGTTGTTTAAAAGTGTGTGGCAATTTATTATGCATGAGCATATGTATGTTATTTCACCCAATGTAATATGTGATAATATGTATCAACTGAGCACTGCTCAACTAAATTATGGTATAGCCATCTGATGGACTACTCAGATTTCCAAAAGAAAGGTAAAGTAAGTATTGATATGGAAAACTCTCCAATATACAATATCAATGCATAAATGGGGATATTAATTAATAAATTCTTCTGTTAAAAATATGAAAAAGTCATATGCACTTCCATACATATATATGCACACAAAGTTATACAATGTGTGGATTTATGTATGTGCGTGTATGCATGTGTTGGTGTCTGTGAGTTTATGTATACCATAAGGAAGCACTAGAAACTCTCTTTGATGGTTTCTGGTGGGGAGAAAGGCTAGAGCCTTGCCCTCGTTTTCTTCTCCCTTTTCCTCTTTCTCCCCCTTTCCCTCCACATTCTTCCTTTTCTCCTTTTTTTTTGACACGGAGTATCCCTCTGTCACCCAGGCTGGAGTGCAGTGGCGCGATCTTGGCTCATTGCAAGCTCCGCCTCCCTAGTTCATGCCATTCTCCTGCCTCAGCCTCCCGAGTAACTGCGACTACAGGCGCCCGCCATCACGCCCGGCTAATTTTTTGTTTTTTTCGTAGAGACGGGGTTTCATCGTGTTAGCCAGGATGGTCTGGATCTCCTGACTTCGTGATCCGCCCACCTCGGCCTCCCAAAGTGGTGGGATTACAGGCGTGAGCCAACGTGCCCGGCCCCTTTTCTCCTTTCAATTCTTTCTCTCCTCTCCTTCTTTTGCTGCTTCTCCTTCTCCTCCTCTTCTACCTACTCCAATCATATTTGGATGGCTTTTCATATATTGTGCTAAGTTTCAAAATTTACAGTGCTTCTCAGTGATGAGATCATGGGCTAATTTTATATATGCTTTCATTTTCTCTAATTTTCTATATTAAAAATATAATACTAGTTATTAAAAATATTTATTCAGTTTAGACATGGCTATGCAGACATTGCTAAACTTTCACAACATTAAGCTCTACATACCTCAAAGCATAGCCAAGGAAGAAATGATTCTTGTCTAAACTAATGCACTTCTAGTAAACTAAGATGTAACATTTCCCTCTTTTTTATTTTTATTTTTTGTGGGTAGGTAGTAGGTGTATATATTTATGGAGTACATGAGATGCTTTGATACATGCATAATAATCACATCAGGGTAAATTGAATATCCATCACTTCACACAGTTATCCTTTGTGTTACAAACAATCTGATTATACTCTTCTAGTTATTTTAAAATGTACAATTAAATTATTTTTGACTATAGTCACCCTGTTGTGCTAGCAAATGCTAGGTCTTATTCATTCTTTCTAACTATGTTTTTATACCTATTAGTCTGCCCCGCTTTCCTCCCAAACCCTCACTACCCTTCTCAGCCTGTTAACCTTTATACTGTTTATCTCCATGAGTTCAACTGTTTTAAGCCTTAGCTCCCACAAATAAGTGAGAGCATCCGAAGTTTGTCTTTCTGTGCCTGGCTTGTTTCACTTAACATAATGACCTCCAGTTCTATCCACATTGTAGCAAATGACAGGAACTCATTTTTTTTTATGGCTGAATGGTATTCCATTTTGTATATGTACTATATTTTCTTTATTCATTCATCTCTTGATGGATGCTTAGGTTGATTCCAAATTTTGGCTATTGTGAGTAGTGCTGCAATAAACATGGAGTGCAGATATCTCTCTGATATACTATGTCCTTTCTTTTGGTTATATACCCAGGAGTGGGATTGCTGGATCATATGATAGCTCAATTTTTGCTTTTTGAGAAACCTCCAGACTGTTCTCCTTAAGGGTCATACTAATGTACATTCCCACTGACAGTGTACAAGGGTTCCTTTTTCTGTATCTCCGCGCCAACATTTGTTATTGCCTGAATTTGGGATAAAAGCCATTTTAACTGGGGCCTCTTAACTTTTTCCCCACACATTTCTTAATTCCTTGATGAAAAATGCTAAAAGATAAGTCACTTTCATACTTTCTAGATATAGTTATTCATTCACTCTTTTATTTTTTTAAGTTTCTTATTTAATAGATATGTATTAAATATTTACCTTGTCTCAGCCAATGTAATGTGTGACAGGCATACAAAGATGAATATAGCAGAAAGTTTATGCCTCTTAAGAAGCATAATGAAGTCATTTAAACAAATAATAGCTACAAATTTTGATAAGCACTGTCATAGAGGTAAGAATATTATGGTGGGGTGGGACGGAAGAAATTAAAATATGTCAATCTACTTTGCGTTGTAAGGAAAATCTTGGCAAAGAAGATACATGTTATGATTTGGCTCTGTGACCCCACCCAAATCTCAACTCGAATTGTAATCCCCATGTGTCATGGGGAGGGACCTGGTGGGAGGTGATTAGCTCAAAGGGGTGGTTTTCTATGCTGTTCTTGTGATAGTGAGGGGGTTCTCAGGAGATCTGATGGTTTTATAAGTGGCAGTTTCCCCTGCATGCTCTCTCTCTTACCTGCCACAGTGTAAGACTTGCCTTGCTTTCCCTTCACCTTCCACCATGATTATAAGTTTACTTATAAGTTCAGCCATGTGGAACTGTGAGTCAAGTAAGCCTCTTTTGTTTATAAATTATCCATTCTCAGGTAGTATCTTTATAGCAGTGTGAAATGGACTAATAAGATAAACTTCAATAGAATACTTAAGAAATTGTGGTAATCAACTAGTTTATGAATGGAAAGAATCATTTTATCAAAGGAAATTAAAAGCATAACAATGTGGCATTAAAACAGATTAGGCAGTTCTGAGGGTTGTAAGGATGATGGAACAGGTACATAATAGGACAATATGGGAGAATAATTAAAGAAGTCCTGAGGGTAGGTGACTGAGGCCTTATATGTTATAAAAGGGGGATTTTACTCTAGGAATTGGGAAAGTGTTTTAAGAAAGAGAATAGTGTGATTATATTTGCTTTTTAGTTTGAAAAGAAGTAGCCTGGAAATGAATGAGATTACAGCCAGAGAAGAGAGAGAATATATTTTGATGAAAGAATATATTTGGATACTGATACAATAGTCCAGGTTAAAGATGATTTGGACCCTGGCACATGGAGGATGCTGTAGGGTCATAAAGGAAGAAATGGTAATAAAAATAACTAAAGTTCAATTGGATGAAGTTTTCAAGCCAACAAAGCATAAAACACAGACACAAAAATGATGTCTAAAATGATTTCTTAGTTTCTTAATCATGTATTAGGTGTCAACCAAGATAGGGAATACAGACAGAGCAGTAAAGAGTTCAGCCCCAGACTCAATCCTATATGTGATTTTTGGGCCCATCCATAAACTTGACCAAGTGGGTCCCACAGGGAGAGCTGCCCTCCCTACACTAGTGCATAGTCCTCTAATGGCAGTTTCAGTAAGGGCTGCAGGGCCATGCTCACACACAGATCAGCATCACTTGACTGGTGCCTCCCCTGGAGGCCTCTCCACTGTGGGACCTTGGCAGACCTTCCCCAAGCATGTTTGCCCAAGACCTCCTTTTCATGGGGAGAGGAGGAGGAGTCTTGAAGACAATTGTCTTCCTTCTGATTCAATACTCAGTGCTTTTCCACTACCAGCCTTTTCCTGACCTTCCATAAAACTGCAGGAGCCTGTTGTTCAGGGTTCCTTTGATAGACAACCCCACATCTGTGCCGACCCATGTGATCCTTGATAGAGCTGTTTCATGGAGGAAAAAAAGGATGGGAACTGGACCGTCAGGGCTTTTTCCAGTTTAACCTCAAAGGTTTGTTAATGTCCTTTTGTCTTGATGTCTTAATTGCCTACTCCAACACCTGGCTCTCTCTCCAGAGTAGTTAAGCTCCTGATGGCTGGGGATAAATTTAATGACTACTGTTTTGTATAAGTTGAGGTTAATCTAATTAATTTACCTAGAGGGAAAATTCTGACCTCTATCTGTCAGACCTCATTTAAAACACAGAGGTCATGAAGATAAATCTGGCTTCTGCCTTCAAGGAGCTTACAGTCTGGTGAAGATGATAGCTGGATAGCTAGACATAACAATAAAACCACAGCTGTTCCCTTGTGATAATTTCTGTTATGAGTTATGTACAGTGGAATATGAAAAATATATAAATGGTACATAACCAATTCTAGGAGGTCAGGGCAAGCTTCCTGGGAGAAATGCTGTCTATAGGTAGACACAGAGAGACAAGAATCAAAGCCTCTTCTGAAGAAGGGTTAAATAAATCTCAGGCAGATAGGCTATGCATGACCTGCTTCTTTTATCTGTCATTTTTGTTGTTGAGTTACTTGCTAAATTTTAAGAATTTTATATATATAATATATTTATAATATTTTATATATATAATATACATATATATATATATATATATATATATCTTCTACATATCAGTGCTCTGTCAATTCAGCCTAATTCTGGCAAAAGCATTAAGGACTTCAATTTTTACCAGGTTTGAAAGGGGAGCAGTCCTTTGAATTAGAATTATTTGAAAAACGTAGGGCTATTCTGAAACAACAACCCAATTGAAAATGCATGGACACTATAACTATTATACTTCCAGATGCATACAAAAATACTTTTATTGTCACATGGGCACAAAGATGTATATTGAAAGCTGTTCACTGAAACAGTATTTATAATAATGAAACCTGGAAGCAACATATCTCTTAATGGGGATATAGACAAGTAAAGTACAACATACACATGTTATAGAAAAAAATGCAGCCTTCTAAAAAATGGGTAAGCTGTATAGATATAGAAAAGAAAAAAGCATTGTACAAATAATATGTATACTTTAATAAAAGTTGTACTAAATTTTAAATGTAATATAAATATCATACCTTCTATATATATATATAAAATTATCAAAAAAAGACTGAATTATAATACATGAAGAGTAGGAAAAAATAGTTGCACTGAGTTTTATATTTTCTGAATGTTTAAATCTTTCCACACAATATGTAATAATTAGACTTTTAAAATGCCAGTAAGGTAATATATACAAATAGCTAATTAAAGCTTAATAAGAACTTTGGAAAAATATTTTTAATAAAGGTTTTACATACATCAGGGTTACAATTAAATTTAACATGCTTTTTATTTTGTCAATTTCTTTTATTTAAAAAATACTTAAACTAACTTCCTTTTTGCTTTTTCCTATTAAAAGAAAAAGCATTTTGCCCTCACAAAAGAAAATTAGTTTCAGATTACTAGTAATTATTTAGGTACTAATTAAAAAAATGAATCTCAGTTACTAAATACACAAATAAGGGAGTTATATGAAACTGTGCAGTAGTCATTATATGGATAGTCATATTTAAAATAAAATGAAAAGAGACTAAAATATGCATTTGTGCTTTTAACTCTGAAAACCTGAATAGGTATTCAACTGTTGATTCTGAGTATTTACAGAACTTTATTCCTTCTTTGGACATGCTTTGGCAGTTTTTACCTAATGTATACACATTTTTGCCTTGTTCTTAATAATTAAAAATATGAGAAAAAGATATTCAAAAAGTGGTTTTTTGTGCGTACTGATGATAAACACTAATATAAAAAGTTACAGAGGTCGGGCACAGTGGCTCACACCTGTAATCCCAGCACTTTGGGAGGCCACAGTGAGTGGACCACTTGAAGTCAGGAGTTTTAGACCAGGCTGGCCAACATGGTGAAACTCCATCTCTACTTAAAAAAATAAATAAATAAATAAACAGGCATAGTGGCTCACGTCTGTAATCCCAGCTACTGGGGAGGCTGAGGTGGGAAAATCACTTGAGCCCAGGAGGCGGAAGCTGCACTGAGCCAAGATCACGCCATTGCCCTCCATCCTGGGTGACAAAGCGAGACTCCATCTCAAAAAAAAAGAAAAGTTATAGAAATAAATATGATGATATGATTTACTGAAAGCAAGTCTCAAATGCCTAAAAAAGGCCAAACTTCCTTTGGTCTTTGGATATCATTCTGGAGGGTGGGTGAGTCTACTTTTGTTTAAAACGTGTTATTTTCATTTATTTTTGAGCAAAAATATCATTTTATAATTTACACTTATTGAACATAATTGTGGAAATACTACTAAATTGTCTCCACATGGAAAATTTCTTGTGACATGTATTTCTTCTAACTTGTGAAGTTCACAGCTATTTCAAAAAACAGTTAAGCTTGTTCCAAAAACTCACTGCCATCCCACCAAACACACATATGGACTTGAGAATAATTAGGCTTTCAGAAACCATTTTAGTATCCAATTAATTGTAGTTTTCTTCAGAAAGTGGTGTAAATCTGATTATATATAGTTGCTTCATGTAGTATAAATCTGATTATACACAATTGTTTCATATAGTATATATCTGATGATATACAATTGCTTCATGTAGTTAAACTTGTTACTAGATAATCCACGTGTAATTGTCACAGAAAGTCTTACGTGTACATTTGGACAATGTCTCTATCTCTGTTTCTTTCTCTCTGTTTCTCTCTCTCTCTCTCTCACACACACACACACAGTCCTTTACAATTACTTTGGAAAAAAATCACAAAAAGGAAAAAATCATTAATCTGAGATTATAACATAAAACCCACAATTTGTCGGTAAACCATCTTTAAATCTATGTTTATACTTGAAATCTACTAGGCTTATGAGAGTCAAAGACTTCCAAGCTTTGAATATTCTTTTTGCTTCAAAAGGAACTGAAAATCTAAATGTAATTTGGTACACCTTTTAAAATATTCACTGCTGCCTGCCAGCTAGCTGCAGGTTATTTTAGCTACTAGAAGCAGCACTAATTTGCAATATCTTTCTAAGACTATCTATAGGTAAAAATTTGACATTGGCTGACTCTAACCAATGTCAAGCTTTAGGATAGCAACATCATCCCTAAAAGAAAAATGAGAAATAACCTAACTATCTAAACATCAAAAACAAATTAACCTTGCCTGACCATTTTTAGGACAACATAATGGTTTCTTGAGATTTTTCAACATTTATGAAAAGATAAAAATTAAGATGAGTCATTTAATAGCATGCATGCTTGAACCAATAAAATGATTTCTTATTTTATGAGTTGTTTTTAAAAAATGAGCCCAGATGTTTCAAATTATAAATAATTTGTCAATTTATGCATAAAGCCAAATTTGAAAAATGTGACTGGTCATTCCCATTAAGAAACTCAACTGAAAATCTGTTTCACTGAATCAAGCTTAAATAAGTAATTGTGTACTTAGATGTAGCTGAATTCTAAGAACTATTTGGACCACAACTTATAGACTATTTATATATTTTGCAAACTGTTTGCTGTTCTCTGACTTCAAGTAAGAGAGAGATATTAAGTGACAAATCATACAACGGAAAGGGAGTTATATAGGAAGACTCTCCATTTTGACTCAGAATACAATATGTACCCATCTTTAAGTTTTAATGGGGAGAACTGTGTGGCTGACTTTTTTTTTTCCCAATCTAGCTTCCTCATTTGGAAGAATGTTTTGTTTCTGTATATGAAAACTGAAGGATTTCTATTCAAGGCCACTGTGGTAGACAGAATAATGGCTTACTAAAATGTCGACGTCCTAATTTCTGGAACCTGTGAAAATGTCACCTTCCATGACAAAAAGACATTGTAGAAGCAATTATTTAAGGATCTAGAGATGAGAATATTAAGGTGGGTTATTTGGGTGTTCCAAATGTGAACCCAAGTGGAGTTCTTGTAAGACTGAGAAGATGCCTTCGAGTTAGGAAGGAGATGGGAGATGTGTCATGAAAGCAGAGGTTGGAGTGACAGGATTTCAAGTTGGAGAAAGGGGTTATAGCCAAGAATCCAAGCAGCCTCAAGAGAGTAGAAGCTCTTGATCTTCACCTATGTGACTCTATTTTAGTCTTTACTTGCAGAACTGTAAGATAGTAGATTTGTGGTGTTTTAATCCACTAAGTTGGTAGTAATGTGCTCCAGCCACTATGAGACAAATACAGTATATATATATATACACACACACACACACACACACACACACACACACACACACACATATATATGTGTGGGTGTGTATTAGGAAAAGTAGTAAATCTAAATCTAGATTTTCTCATTCTCACCTAGGTTCTTATATTTTTAATTATATAACTAGTTACATAACATTATTTATATAATACTAGTTATATAAATAGTGCTCTATTGTTTTCCTTGTATTTTAATTTTTCTGTTAAAAGAAAGTTTAAGAACATATGTATCCATATATGTATATACACATGCAGAAATGTATATCTGTGTATGTGTGTGTGTTTATATATGAGTATATATATTCAAAGTTCTGAAATGTTTTTCAAAGCAATGCTGGCAATGGAATTCTCATTTCTATGTGTCTTTTCTGTGGAGGTTTAAGTATGATTTATTTGGGAATTGCTACATTATCCTGACAAAAATATAACAGTAGTGGCAATATATAATCCCCCAAAAATGTTAAATCTCCAGATAACTTTTAATGAGTTGGCATTGACTAGTATGAGAAAAACAAGGCACAGAGAGTGATATGGTTTGGCTCTGTGCTGTCACCCAAATCTCATCTTGAATCGTAATCCCCATAATGCCCATGTGTTGAGGGGCCTGGTGGGAGGTGATTGGATCATGGGCACAGTTTCCCCTAGATGTTCTCATGATAGTGAATGAGTTCTCATGAGATCTGATGGTTTTACAAGTGTTTGACAGTGCCTCCTTCACATGCTCTCTCTCCCCTGCTGCCATGTAAGACGTGCCTGTTTCCCCTTCCACCATGATTGTAAGTTCCCTGAGGCCTCCCCAGCCATGCAGAACTGTGAGTCAATTAAGCCTCTTTCCTTTGTAAATTACCCTGTCTCAGGTATTCTTTATAGCAATGTGAAAATGGATTAATACAGAGAGTCTACACATTTCTTTATATAAGATATACTTGTTTTCTGTTTATAGTTAGCATTTACAAAGTTTACAGTAAAATTTTTACTTACATTTATATAACATTGAATTTATTCTCAAAATTTTATGCAACCAATTACATACATTTTAGATCTAAAGTGGACTTTGTTTTTTTCCATGGAATAAGTATTTTGTAGGACTTCTCTTCAATATTGGTGTGTAGAAAAAAAAATGTGAACTTCAAGTTTCAATCAATTAAACTTTTGCTTAAACTGAAAAGCCATGCCAACACACAAAAAGGTCATCTGGGGTGTGCCATTACATTAGGATTACATACGGGTACTACACACTCAGTTGTGTAGGAAATAAGAATGGATTATACTTAAACCTCTAAAGGATGGCCTGAATTAAAGAGATAGAAAATGGGAGTTAATATTGCTAGTGTTACCATGTAAAATTTAATAATTATTTGCTTAATTATTGTCTTATTAATTTAATAGTTTCTAAAGAGAAATTTCATTAACAAATTAACAGGAACAGCTACAAAATTTGCAGTGTTCAGTGCAAAATTAAAATATAGGACATCTTACTCAAAAATTATTTAAAACTTGACACGAATGACACCAAAGAATTAGCCAAGTGATGGGCCCCTGCAAATGAGCAGATCACATAAATCTATCCCTGAACATCAGTTAGTTATAAAAAAAATAAGAAATTAAGGCTGGGACCCATATCCATAATTTTACCCATACCTGCATTTATATCTGTATTTATATACCTATAAGAGTATTTAGATCTATTTATTCACAATCTCAGAATCAGATTGTAGAGACATTTAAAGATTAACTAATACAAACTTGTCCTCTTACAAAAGAGAAAACTGAGCCGCAGTGCTTTGATTGTATCAGTAGCTAATATTAGAAATAAAAGCAGCACATTATCTTAAATATTTTATGTTTTTCTTATTACTAACAGTTTAGTGCTCCTATGTATTTTGTAGTACTTCTCTTCAATATTGGTGTGTAGAAAGAAAATGTGAACCCCGAGTTTAATCAATTAAACTTTGATTAAACTGAAAAACCATAGTCAATCCCAATACATAAAAGGGTCATCTGGGGTGTGCCATTGCATTAGGATTACATACTGGTACTATATGTTGCTGTTACATGCTATTTCACTCAGTCGTGTAGGACAGAAGCATGGATTATACTTAAACTTCTAAAGAATGACCTCAATTAAAGAGATAGAAAATGGGAGTTAATATTGTTAGTGTTGCCATGTAAAATTTAATAATTAATATAATGTCTCATATATTCTGTGGTGATTAATTGGTGTGGATTATTTAAGCCACGAGAATAAGTACTATAAAAGCAATAATTTATAATAGGGTCTTTAATGATCAGTTCTGTTCTTACACAGCTTCTTCCAACTCCTACTCCTTGGAAGCAACCAAGTGGTATGAGTTGGCCCCTACTCACCCCCTCCCTGGTGTCAGTGGACCATATCAGGGAAGTGAGGTTATTTTTTCACTTGGAGGAAACAAAGATATGTAACTCAGTACCCTACTTTTGCCATGAGGTTGCCAGTGGGTGGAGGGAGAAGACAAACTTCCACCTAACCAGTCTACAAGAAGGAAGTATAAGTTAGTACTCTACTTTTGATAGGATGGTATTAGTAGGTCCCATCAGGAAGATAAACATGCACACCCACCCAGCTCTCAGGTTACACATCAATAGGGAACCATCTACGAAATAATAAGAGAGAAAAGATTCTCATAATATAAAAAAATATTCAGGACACAATAAAAATCACTTATAAAACAAAAGAACTAGGAAATCATAACCTGAATAAGAGAAAGACAACAGACACCAACACAGACATGAAAAAGGTGTTGGGGCTGGGCGCAGTGGCTCACACCTGTAATCCCAGCACTGTGGGAGGCCAAGATGGGTGGATCACTTGAGGTCAGGAGTTCAAGACCATCCTGTCCAACATGGCGAAACCCCGCCTCTACTAAAAATATAAAAAGTTAGCCGGGTGCATTGGCACATGCCTGTAATCCCAGCTACTTGGGAGGCTGAGGCAGGAGAATCACTTGAACCTGGGAGATGGAGGTTACAGTGAGCCAAGATCATACCGCTGCACTCCAGCCTGGGCAACAGAGTGAGACTGTTTCAGACAAAAAAAAAAAAAAAAAAAAAAAAAAAAAAAGAGGTTGGAATTATCTAACAAGGATTTTAAAGAAACCATCATAAAAGTGTTTAAATAAGCAATTATATATTGTATTCTCTTGGAACAAATAAAAGTTAAAATTAAAAGTAAATTCAATAATGACATAAGTTATAAAAAGTAAATATGAACTAAATAAAATTAAAATACAATAATGGAAATAATAGATTCAGAGGATGGTCACAAAAGAAGAGAGCACAGAGCAGAAGATGGAATCAGTGAATCTGAAAACATGCCAACAGAATTTACTGTCTGAACAAGAAGAAGAAAACTGATAAAAAAAAAATTTAACAGCATTTCAGGAAACTTTAGAACAATAATAAAAGAGCTAACATTCATAATCACAGGGGATATAGAAGACGAGGAGATAGAATGTGGGACTAAAAAACTATTAAAAAATAATGACTTCAACCTTCCCAAATTGGATGGAAGACATAAACCTAAATATTCAAGAAACAGAGCAAATCTTAAATAGAATACACCCAAATACATTCAATTTCTGGAAATGAAAAAAAAAAATTAAAAATCTTGAAAGCAAACAGAGAAAAATGGCACATTTCTTACAGAAAAACAATAATGTAAACCACAGCAGATTTTCCATCTGAAACCATGAAGGTTGGAAGGAAACAGATAATATTTTTGAAGTACTGAAGGAACAGAACTGTGAACTGTAAATTCAATACCCAGCAATAATATTCTTCAGGCATTAAAGTGACATAGAAAACATTGTCTAATGAAAGAATGCTAAGGTAATGTGTTGCTAACAAACTTACCTTTAAAGAATAAGTTCTCTAAACAGAAAAGAAATGATAAAAGAAGAAGGTTTTCAGCTTTTACAAACATCCATCTAAATGGGTAAAATTAAGCATAAATATAATGTATAATCAAACTTCTGTTAAGTTTTTAAGCCATTTCTAATAGTTGAAGCAAAAATTAGTGACCTACCTGGTTGGATGCTCAAGGAACATAGAGGAAATATTTAAGATAATTATATCTAAAAAGTAGTGATAGTAAAGAGACTCATATGGAAACAAGTTTTCTACACTTCACTCAAAGAGGTAAAACATCAGTAACAGTAGATCTTGACATTACACATATATTATTTTAACCAGTGCAATTAATAAAACCAAACAAAATCATGTACAATCATGCACTGCATAATGATGTTTTGCTCAGCAATAGACTGCATATATCATGGTGGTCCCATAAGATTATAATGGAGATGAATATTACCTAGTGACATTGCAGCTGAGCTGTCTTAACATTATAGTCTAACATATTTCTCACCTGTTTGTGGCAATGATGGTGTAAACAAACCTACTGCATTGCCAGTTATAAAAAAGTGTAGCACATAAAATTATGTCTAGTACTGATATTGTTTGGCTGTGGCCCCACCCAAATCTCATCTTGAATTGTAATCCTCATGATCCTCCCGTGTCAAGGGCAAGACCTGGTGGGAAGTGATTGGATCCTGGAGGCAGTTTCCCTCATGCTGTTCTCATGATAGTGAGTAAGTTTTCATGAGATCTGATGGTTTTAAAAGTGTTTGAAAGTTTCTCCTAGACACACTCATTCTCTCCTGTTGCCTTGTGAAGAAGCCAACTGCTTTTATTCCACCATGATTGTAAGTTTTCTGAGGCCTCTCCAGCCATGCAGAACTATGAGTCAATTAACCCTCTTTCTTTTATAAATTACCCTGTCTTGGGTAGTATCTTTATAGCAGTGTGAGAACAGACTAATAGAGTAAATTGGTACTGGGAGTGGGGCACTGCTATAAAGATACTGAAAATGAGGAAGTGACTTTAGAACTGGGTATCGGGCAGAGGTTGGAAGTGTTTGGAGGGCTCAGAAGAAGACAGGAAGTTGTGAGAAAGTTTGAAACTTCCTAGGGACTTGTGGAATGGTTTTGACCAAAATGCTGATTGTGATATAGACAGTGAAGTCCAAGCTGAGGTGGTCTTGGATGGAGAAGAAGAACTCATTAGGAGCTAGAGCCCAAAGATCACTCTTACTCTGCCTTAGCAAAGAGACTAGAAGCATTTTGCCCCTGTCCTAGAGATCTGTGGAACTTTTAATTTGAGAAACATTATCTCAAATTGGAACTTATGTTTAAAATGGAAGCAGGGCATAAAAGTTTGGAAAATTTGCAGCCTGACCATGCAGTAGAAAAGAAAAACCCATTTTTCAGGGGAGGAATTCAAGCTGGCTACAGAAATTTGCCTAAATAACAAGAAGCCGAATGTTGTTACAGTAGCCAAGACAATGGCAAAATTTTTCTTGGGCGTATCACAGACTTCCATGGCAGCCCTTCTCATCACAGACCCAGCGGCCTCTGAGGAAAAAAGGTTTCATGGGCTGGGCCTATGGCCCCGTTGCTCTGGGCAACCTCAGGACTTGGTGCCCTGTGTCCCAGCTGCTGCTACTCCAGCTCCAGCCGTGGCTAAAAGGAGACAATGTACAGCTCACCTGTTGATTCAGAGGGTGCAAGCCCCAAGCCTTGGAGGATTCCATATGATGTTGGGCCTGAGGGTACACAGAAGTCAAGAATTCAGGTGTGGAAACCTCTGCCTAGATTTCACAGGTTGTATGGAAATGCCTGGATGTCCAGGCCGAGATTGGCTGCAGGGGTGGAGCCATCATGGAGAACCTCTGCTAGGGTAGTGCAGAAGGGAAATGTGGGGTTGGAGCTCCCACACAGAGTCCCCACTGGGGCACTGCCTAGTGAAGCTGTGAGAAGAGGGCCACTGTTCTCCAGACCCCTGAATGGAAGATCCACCAACAGCTTGTACTGTGCACCTGGAAAAGCCACAGACACTCAATGCCAGCCTGTGAAGGAACTGCCCAAGGCCATGGGAGCCCACCCCTTGCATTAACATGCCCTGGATGTGAAACATGGAGACAAGGAGATTATTTTAAAGCTTTATGTTTTAATGACTGCCCTGCTGGGTTTCAGACTTTCATGGGGTCTGTATCCCCTTTGTTTTGACTAATTTCTCCAATTTGGAATGGGAGCATTTATCCAATTCCTGTACCCTCATGGTATCTAGGAAGTAACTAACTTGCTTTTGATTTTACAGGCTTATAGGCCAAAACGTCTTGCCTTGTCTCAGATGAGACTTTGAACTGTGGGCTGTTGAGTTACTGCTGAAATGATTTAAGACTCTGGGGGACTGTTAGGAAGGCATGATGTTGGGTTGGAAATGTAAAAAATATGTGAGATCTGGGAGGGTCCAGGGGTGGAATGATATGGTTTGGCTCTATATCCCCACCCAAATCTCATCTTGAATTGTAATCTTCATAATACCCATGTGTTGAGGGCAGGACCTGGTGGAAGGTGATTGGATCATGTGGGCGGTTTCTGCCATGCTGTTCTTATGATAGTGAGTGAGTTCTCAGGAGATCTGATGGTTTTGTTAAGTGTTTCACAGCTCCTCCTACACACAATCCTTCTCTCTCCTGTTGTCTTGTGAAGAAGATGACTGCTTCCCATTTCACCATGACTGTAAGTTCCATGAGGCCTCCTCAGCCATGCAGAACTGTGACTCAATTAAACATCTTTCCTTTATGAATTACCCAATCTCAGGTAGTGTCTTTATAGTAGTGTGAGAATGGACTAATACAAGTACATTTTACTTAGTAATAATAATAAACAAATATATTACATTTTCGTGTATTTACTATACCATATTTTTTATTGTTATTGTAGTGTACACCTTCTACTTATTAAAAGAAATAGGCCCGAGGCGGGCAGATCACGAGGTCAGGAGATCGAGACCATCCTGGCTAACATGGTGAAACCCCATCTCTACTAAAAATACAAAAAATTAGCCAGGCCTGGTGGGGGGCGCCTATATTCCCAGCTATTCGGGAGGCTGAGGCAGGAGAATGGCGTGAACCCAGGAGGCGGAGCTTGCAGTGAGCCGAGATCACGCCACTGCACTCCAGCCTGTGCGACAGAACGAGACTCTGTCTCAAAAAAAAAAAAAAAAAAGAAATAGGCAACTGTAAAACAGCCTCACAGTGGTCCTTCACGAGGCATTTCAGAGGGCATTGTTATGATAGGAGATGTCAACAGATCCATATGCATTATTGGCCTAGAGGAGCTTCCAGTGGGACAAGATCTGGAGGTAGAAAACAGTGATGTTGATCATACTGACCCTGTGTAGGACTACGCTAGTATGTGCATTTGTGTCTTTGTTTTTAACAACAACAACAAAAAAATTAAAAGTTAAAAGATGTAAAATTACAAAAAAACTTAGAGAATAAGGATATAAGGAAATAAAGTATTTCTGTGTACAATATGCGTTTTAAGCTAAGTGTTATTACAAAAGAGTCAAAAAGTTAAAAATAAGTTAAAAAGTTTATAAAGTAAAAAAGTTACTGTAGGATAAGTTTAATGTATTTTGAAAGAAAGAAGTTTTTTTTACAAATTTTATAAATTCAGTGTTTATAAAGTCTACAGTTTTGTACAATGATGCCCTAGGCATTTACGCTCACTCACCACTTACTCACTAACTCTCCCAGAGCAACTCCTAGTCCTGCAAACTTAATTTATAGTAAGTGCCCTAATCAGGTATACCATTTTTGATTTTTGACTGGATTTTTTACTGTACCTTTTTTTTATGTTTAGATACACAAATATTTACCATTGTGTTGCAAATGCCTACAGTATTCAGCACAGTAACATGCTGTATAGGTTTGTAGCCTAGGATCAACAGGCTGTACCACATAACCTAGGGTGTGTAGTAGGTTATGCTATCTCTATTTACACATAGAATACACTATATGATGTTACACAGTGAAGAAATTGCCTAATGCATTTCTCAGAATGTAATTTTTGTCATTAAGTGATGCAACATTGTATTTAAAAACACTATAAATAAATTAAGATGGAAACTTAACATGTTTACGTAACCCATTGGAAAGCAAGAAAAAGACACAGAGGAATAAGAAACAGAAACAAACAGAAACAAATAACAAAGTGGTAGACTTCAACCACAACATATAAATTGTTAAACATAAAAGGCCTATAGAAACCAACTAAAAAACATAGATTGGCAGAGTAGTTAAAAAAACAAAAATCAAAAACGAAAAAACATGGCCAACAATATTGTCCAAATTGCATTTGTACCCCATAAATAAATAATTTTTAAAATTCTGTCTATATAAAACTAACTTCAAATACAGCATAGGTAAGATAAAAGTAAAAAGAGAGAAACAGTAAAATAATTTAAAAATGCAAGTGAGGTTATAGTAATATATCAGCTACATAAATTTTATTTTATTATTATTATTATTATTATTATTATTATTATTATTATTATTTTGAGACAGAGTCTCACTCTGTCACCCAGGCTGGAGTGCAGTGGAGCAATCTCAACCTCACTGCAAGCTCCACCTCCCAGGTTCATGCCATTCTCCTGCCTCAGCCTCCCGAGTAGCTGGTACTACAGGTGCCCACCACCACGCCCAGCTAATTTTTTTGTGTTTTTAGTAGAGACGGGGTTTCACCGTGTTAGCTAGGATGGTCTCGATCTCCTGACCTTGTGATCTGCCAGTCTCAGCCTCCCAAAGTGCTGGGATTACAGGCATGAGCCAGGGTGCCTGGCCCAGCTACATAAATTTTAAAAAGTAAAAAAAGTCAAATTGCATTTTTAAATATTTTACATTCCATTGCCATTCAAAGAAATAACATTGTTTTCAATACGATTAAGCAAGTATCATTAGACCTAGAAATAGCCACAATCATTTCTTAAAAAGATTATTAATATTTATTTATTTATTTATTTTTAGGCGGAGTCTCACTCTGTTCGCCAAGCTGGAGTGCAGTGGTGCGGTCTCAGCTCACTGCAATTTCTGCCTCACCCTCCCAAGTAACTGGGATTACAGGCACGTGCCACCACATACGGCTAATTTTTGTATTTTTAGTAGAGACTAATTTTTGTACTTTTAGTAGAGACAGGGTTTCACCATATTGGCCAGGCCGGTCACAAACTCCTGACCTCAGGTGATTGGCCCGCATCAGCCTCCCAAAGTGCTGGGATTACAGGCGTAAGTCATCGTGCCCAGCTAAGATTTCTAATATTTATAAGCTCTACCTTCTTTCTTGGAGAAATGACTTTATAATTTCACTTTCTAATTCAGTTACCTGTTGAAACTAAATTAAAATATATTCATATGCAAAATGCAAGTAAATAAAAACAGCAGCTTTCTCTATGCTAAAAGAAAGTTCCTTTGGAGCTCATTTCCTTGACAATGGAAGAAAGTACTTCACTGCACTATCTTCATTATGCAAATAAAGGTGCATTTTAGCTCTTTTGAAGAAGAAGAGGAAGAACATGTCTCTCAAATAGCAGGAAAGAACAAATTTCCTTAAGCAAGAGTGAGGGAAAGTTCATCAACACCAACCCTAGGTACATCTTCATTCAGACTTGAAAAGCTTTTGAATAGCGTCTGTTTATTCCTGTTAGAACTGAACTGGCAGGAAAAGACAATGGAGAAGCCACAAAGAGGAGTAGCTAGGTAGCAGCATTCAGGTCCACAATGCCTGGATTTCATTATTATTATTCTACTGTATCTTCAGGCAGTTTATGTAAATCATCTGTTATTGAGTTCTCTCATCTGGAAGATGAGGGTACTAATAGTTCCAGAGTTCTTACATTAGTGCTGTTGCCGTTAGTTATCATCATTTAAGTGTCTGTTCTTATTGTTCAAAGAGTGACTCGCAGTTGAGAGTCCCTGGGACCTGAAGTAGGGAGGTGGAGAATTTTGCATTGGAGTATACTGTTATCTTAACCTTGGAGGCCTGAGTGTTCTTAGGTAAAAGACTGCTTTGGAGGCTGCAAATGGAACTAGAATCCCACCAGATCACAGCCATCTGACTTGGTTGCATTTTTATGGAAACCAGGATGTTGAGGATGTGAGACTGATATAAAAGCACTAGGATATTCACAGGGTAAAAGTCAGGAGGATCATAACAGCACAGTACTAGAGAACCAGTACATAGTGGTGTGATGAATGAAAGCCACTGACATAACTTTCGCATCTTGTCTTCCTGTATTCTTTCCTTCTGTGACAGTTCTTGAGATCATGACCTCTTTTGGAATGGTGTTCTCAGAAGTCCTTGGACAATCAGGGTGTACTGGGAGAAAACATGCTGTGAGATGGGATGAAAGTCTTCAGGATAGACACTATACTTTCTGTTATTGGAGGATTCGGTAGTTTGAATAAGCATTTGAATGAATAAAATATTTGAGTTGAGGACTAAATTCTGATTTTTTTTTTTCATCTTGCCCAAATTCCTATTTAAAGAAACTGGGAGTCAGCCCTACGAATGATAACATCTCTTTACATGGGTTTTTTATTAACCCTATATAATGTGGCTTGCTTTCCAACCTGACTCTGGTACAGCATCACATAACAGACAGCAGACCCTGAAGGATATAAAAATATTTTGCCCTAAAATATATTTCTTTGATGTGTTTTGAAATGGCTGTTGCAAGGCCAGCAAACTGAGGTAGAGGAAATTTGCATCTATGGAGAATCTTCATTAATGCAGCCATGCTTCCCCTTTCTATGCCTTTCCAGGACCTAGGAGTGATTGAGAGTCTGATACCTTTAAAGGTCTGAAAAGAAACATTTACCATCTATTCTCTCTGAGGGCCACCTATGAGGCTTCATCTACTTAATAAGATCCTTGGTCTTTCCCCCACTCTTATCTGAACTCAGGCATTCCTTTCTATCGATTTCAAGACTTTAGACAATAGCATAACTCTCTCAACCAATTGTCAACTAAAGGATCCCTAAAACCCACTTATGACGTACAAGCTCCTCCCCTGACCTACCTGCAATTACCTGCAATTGGTTGTCTCCTTGGAATGTATAAAAACAAACTGTAACCCGGTTGCCTTGGGCATGCTTTCCGAACCTCTTGAGATAGTGTAACCCAGGCCTTGGTCACTTATACTGGCTCTGAATAAACCTCTTTAAATATATTTTGACAGAATTTGTTTTTTGTGTATTTTTCTGTGTATTTCTACCTCTGAGAAGAGGAGTAATTTATACTCTTTACAAATCATGGTCAGGTATGACTGGTGCTAGAATGAGGATGAAGGGAAGAGAAAAGGAAGAAATAATTCTCCACTCTTTGTTTCCAATTTTAGTTCTTTAAAGTAAAAGTACAAAACATTTTGTAGAGATGTAGCTTGTGGTGGCATGGTTGAAAAACTTCTGCACTTTATGATTCCTCCACTACAGTGTGATAATGTTTTAAATAGCATTTAAAATGTAGATTCTGTCCAATCCTTACAATTAACTTTTTTATTGTTTGGAATCCATGAAGTTGGTATATGCATGAGCAGATACATATTTATTTAAGAAAAAAAATTAGGCCTTACAGAAAATTGGTTTCTCAGAGACATGATAAAAGTTACCAGATGTCTCTCAGACTATATCTATGAAAAAATACATAACCAAATAGACACCAATTGCAAATGAATTAATTACATTGAAATTCTAATAACTTTCATTTCCTAAACTGACATTGATGGAAAAGAATTCTAAGATATAAAATAAGCTCTACTTCATCCTGCTTTCAATAGCACATGATTTAATCAGAATATATAATACTGTTGAGCACATAAATATTATTTTCATTACTTAATGATGATAATTATGACTATTTTCATTGCTATAATTTTGGTCATGCCATATTGATTAGCAATAAAATATATACTTAGCTAGAGAGGCAGCTAATCCAAAACTTTTGGGATTTCTTTTTTTTTTTTAGATTATTGGTGCTCCTCCTCCTGTCATTGAGGTTAAAATTAAATGTTACATATTCCTTCTCTGTGTATGTGTATCTTATTTCCTCATATTCTACCTCTTCAGAGTAGTGTGTGTGAGTGCCTGCACACACACTTGCATGTGAGAGCTTCTAATATCTAAATTAATGTTGAATCATTATTCAGAAACAGAGAGCTAACTGTTATCCCATCCTGACTTTATTCTTTATGAAGAAAAATACAGTGATTCCAAGTTACCAAGTTAGTGCTGCTTGCTTTATAAATGAAGTAATATTTTAAAAGTTGTGCATAAGTTAAAATTCAGAAATAAAACTTCATCCTAAAACTCTGTGTGTTGCTTTAAATAATCAGAGCATCTGCCTACTTAATTTTTTGTGTGTGGGTGCACAATAGATGTTTAATGAGATCCTGTCATCTGTCTGCTTTTTTATTGTAAAACAGGAGGGGTTTTAATACTGGAGGAACAACTGATGTACCTCTGAAAAAGAGAGAGATTAGTTATTAATTGAATTGAGGGTTGTCTTGTCTTAGTAGCTTTTATTCTCTAGGTACTATTTGATTATGATTGTGAAAATAGAATTTATCCCTCATTAAATGTAAAATCAACAGGAGAATAGCAAAAACTTATGAGATAGATGAACGTTGTGTGAGTGGCATGGTTTAATTTGTTTGGAAGAAGCACTTGCCCCAGAAGATACACAATGAAATTCATGTTATTGAGTAGAGTAGTAATACAGTGTGTTCCCTTGTGAAGTTCATAACCAAGAATTTTAGTAGTGGATAGGTAGGCTGAATAACTGACTTCCTATCATTTTCAGGTTCTGCGTTTGATTTTTTTTACATATTAATTTCTTTGATCCACATTAAGCTCAGTTATGTATTTCCATTTTATAAATGAAAAAAAATAGGCACTTGCAAATGTCAGATCACTTGCCTGTGGTCATTCGGGTAGAGATTTGTGGAGCTAAGTTGGTCTTAATCAAATGTCAAGCTTTTTTTTTTCTTATAAAATATAGGTTTTAATATGAGTTTTAAAATAAAATTAATTAGAAAAAGGCAAATTACTCAATATATATAAGGTATTGCATTTGTAATAGGTAGGTATTTCATTTTCTAGTTATGGTGGGATATTATTCAGACTATAATTCCCAATGAAAAAACTTTAAAAAATGCTAGTGATTGCACACTTAAAACACCTTTTAAAAAGCATTGAGAGCTTATAAAATTTTAATGAGTGATCAAACCAAATTTGAAGAGAAAAGAAGAACCCAGAGAGGTAAGGATATAACCTTACCAGTTGCAATTTGCCGATCTCTACAAATATTAATATTTATTTTGACAGTTTCAGGGTGAATGAGAAAGAAACCAAAACCCAAGACTAGCATATGTTGTCTTCTTAAGGAGCCCTCCCCTAAAAGATTGAGATGACCAAATCTTATACTCTCAGCATAAGGTGAACCAGACAGACCTAAAGCAGTGGTAGCTTGGATCCACTACTTGGGTTTGTGTGATGGCGTGACTCAGGTAATCTCAAGAATTGAACATTTTTTTAAGGTGGTCCTACTCATACACTGCCCAGGTATTAGGGAGAAGCAAATCTGAATGCTTTATAAAAATACCCTAAAGCTAAATCTTACAATATTCTCAAGAACACAGTGAAACAAGGCAAAATAAGTTAAAATCAACAAAAACAACATGAAACATAATTAGACACACAAAGACTTCAAACATTGGAAAATACCAGAGAAAGATAATAAATATTTTACTCTTTAAAAATTTAGTTAAAAGCTTAAACTAATTGTAGAGAAAAAACTATGTTAGTATTATATTGTAGATGAAATAAGCAAAACATTTAAAATACAAATGTGATTACTTAAATTAAATATAATAGATAATTTACCACCAGATTAGATACCATTGAAGGAATAATTAATATACTGAAATACAGGTCAGTAGAATTTTTTTTCAATTCAGCATGGAGATGTAAAAAATGAAAATTAATGCAAAAAATAAGGGCACAAAAAGAAATGAGTAATTTTGATCAGAAATGTATTAAAATTAATAAACTGGAAATTTGACATTTAAAAAAAGCATTGTCATCCAAGTAGATGTGTCTATTAAATAGTTGTTCTCATATCCAGTAATGTAATTATTATTCCCTCTCATGCAGTTCAGATTCTGGGGTAATCTTTAGACATCAGTTTTGTCTTTTATATTATTTATTCTGTTTACTACATTTTATTTTGCTAATGATATTTTTAATTTCTGACATTCTGGAGTATTGCTTGTAAAAGGTATTTTTAAAAATACTTTATGGTTATTTTTGTGATTCCTATTCCTCTATGGACACCAAGGCTATTGACATTTTCTTTGGTTTCTTCTGTTACTTCTATTTTCTTAGTGTTTATATCATTTCATAGATAGGATATTCTTTATTTTTTATTTTTATTTAAATATTTGGTGATTCTTGGTTTTCTCAGCCATCTATTGTCAAGTGTTCTTATTAAGCATTATTATTAAATAAAGATTATTTCCTCTAATCACATGAGAATCTTTATTTCCCCCAAGTAATTGAAAATTGCAATGCCATGCTGCCATGTGGTACAGCATGGGTTTGGGCTTGCTTTCTTCTTTTTTTTTTAACTTTTATTTTAGGTTTGGGAGTACCTGTGAAAGTTTGTTATATAGGTAAACTCGTGTCACCAGGGTTTGTTGTACAGATCATTTTGTCACCTAGGTACCAAGTACTCAACAATTATTTTTCCTGCTCCTCTGTCTCCTGTCACCCTCCACTCTCAAGTAGACTCCGGTGTCTGCTGTTCCATTCTTTGTGTCCATGTGTTCTCATAATTTAGTTCCCCACTTGTAAGTGAGAACATGCAGTATTTTCTAGTATTTGGTTTTTTGTTCCTGTGTTAATTTGCCCAGTATAATAGCCTCCAGCTCCATCCATGTTACTGCAAAGAACATGATCTCATTCTTTTTTATAGCTCCATGGTGTCTATATACCACATTTTCTTTATCTAAACTCTTATTGATGAGCATTGAGGTGGATTCTATGTCTTTGCTATTGTGCATATTGCTGCAATGAACATTTGTGTGCATGTGTCTTTATGGTAGAATGATATATTTTCTTCTGGGTATATATGCAGTAATGCGATTGCTGGTTGGAATGGTAGTTCTGCTTTTATCTCTTTGAGGAATTGCCATGCTGCTTTCCACAATAGTTGAACTAACTTACACTCCCACTAACAGTGTGTAAGTGTTTCCTTTTCTCCACAACCTGCCAGCATCTGTTATTTTTTGACATTTTAATAGTAGCCATTTTAACTGGTATGAAATTATATTTCATTGTGGTTTTAATTTGCATTTCTCTAATGATCAGTGATATTGAGTTTGTTTTTTTTCACATGCTTGTTGGCTGCATGTATGTCTTCTTTTAAAAAGTGTCTGTTCATGTACTTTGCCCACATTTTAATGGGGTTGTTTTTCTCTTGTAAATTTGTTTAAATTCCTTATAGGTGCTGGATTTTAGACATTTGTCAGACGCATAGTTTGCAAATAGTTTCTCCCATTCTGTAGGTTGTCTGTTTATTTTGTTAATAGTTTCTTTTGCTATGCAGAAGCTCTTAATAAGTTTAATGAGATCCTGATATGTTAGGCTTTGTGTCCCCACCCAAATCTCATCTTGAATTATAATCTCCATAATCACCACATGGAGAGACCAGGTGGAGGTAATTGAATCTGGGGGTGGTTTCACCCATGCTGTTCTTGTGATAGTGAATGAGTTCTCACGAGATCTAATGGTTTTATGAGGGGCTCTTCCCAGCTTTGCCTGGTACTTCTCCTTCCTGCCGCTTTGTGAAAAAGGTGCATTGCGTCCCTTTCACCTTCTTCTATAATTGTAAGTTTCCTGAGGCCTTCCCAGCCATGCTGAACTTCAAGTCAATTAAACCTTTTTCTTTATAAATTACTCAGTCTCTGGTGGTTCTTTATAGCAGTGTGAAAATGGACTAATGAAGTTCCCATTTATGAATTTTTGCTTTTGTTGCAATTGCTTTTGACATCTTAGTCATGAAATCCTTGCCTGTTCTAAGTACAGGACGGTATTGCCTAGGTTGTCTTCCAGGGTTTTTCTAATTTTGTGTTTTGCATTTAAGTGTTTAATCCATCTTGAGTTGATTTTTGTATATTGTGTAAGGAAGGGGTCCAGTTTCAATCTTTTGCATATGGCTAGTTAGTTATCCCAGTACCATTTATTGAAAAGACAGTCTTTTCCCCATCGCTCGTTTTTGTCAGTTTTATTGATGATCAGATAATCATAGCTGTGTGGCTTTATTTCTGGGTTCTTTATTCTGTTCTATTGGTTTATGTCCCTGTTTTTGTGCCAGTACCATGCTGTTTTGGTTAACATAGCCCTGTAGTATAGTTTGAGGTCAGATAGCCTGATGCTTCCAGCTTTGTTCTTTTTCTTAAGATTGCCTTGGCTATTTGGCCTCTTTTTTGGTTCCACATGAATTTTAAAACAGTTGTTTCTAGTTTTTGAAGAATGTCATTGGTAGTTTGATAGAAATAGCATTTAATCTGTAAATTGATTTGTGCAGTATGGCCTTTTAATGATATTGATTCTTCCTATCCATGAGCATGATATGTTTTCCATTTTGTTTGTATCCTCTCTGATTTCTTTGTGCAGTGTTTTGTAATTCTCATTGTAGAGATTTTTCACCTCCCTGGTTAGTTGTATTTTACCCTAGATATTTTATTCTTTTTGTGAAAATTGTGAATGGGATTGCCTTCCTGATTTGACTGCCAGCTTGGTTACTGTTGGTTTATAGAAATGCTAGTGATTTTTGTACATTGATTTTCTTTCTAAAACTTTGCTGAAGTTTTTTTTATTAGCAGAAGGAGCTTTGGGGCTGAGACTATGGGGTTTTCTAGATATAGAATCATGTCAGCTTCAAATAGGGATAATTTTACTTCCTCTCTTCCTATTTGGATGCCCTTTATTTCTTTCTCTTGCCTGATTACTCTGGCTGGGATTTCCTATGTTGAATAGGAGTCATGAGAGAGGGCATCAAATCTACACATATCAAATACTAACCTTGAATGTAAGTGGGCTAAATGCCCCACTTAAAAGGTAAAGGGGGGCAAGCTGAATAAAAAAGCAAGACTCAATGGTATGCTGTCTTTGAGACCTATCTCACATGTGATGACACCCATAGGCTCAAAATAAAGGAATGGAGGAAAATCTACCAAGCATGTAGAAAACAGAAAAAAGCAGGGGTTGCATCCTAATTTCAGACCAAACAGACTTCAAACCAACAAAGTTCAAAAAAGACAAAGAAGGGGCCGGGAGTGGTGGCTCACACCTGTAATCCCAGCACTTTGGGAGGCCAAGGTGGGTGGATTACCAGGTCAGGAGATCGAGACCATCCTGGCCAACATTGTGAAACCCCATCTCTACTAAAATCCAAAAAAAAAAAAAAAAAAAAAAAATTAGCTGGGCTTGGTGGTGTGTGCCTGTAGTCCCAGCTACTCGGGAGGCTGAGGCAGGAGAATCACTTGAACCCGGGAGGCGGAGATTGCAGTGAGCTGAGATTGTGCCACTGCACTATAGCCTGGCGACAGAGTGAGGCTCCATCTCAAAAAAAAAAAAAAAAAAAAAGACGAAGTGCATTACATAATGATGAAGGGTTTTACTCAACAAGAAGACCTTACTAACCTAAATATATATGCACCCAACACAGGAACACCCAGATTCATAAAGTAAGTTCTTAGAGTACAAAGAGGCTCCCACACAATAATAGTAGGAGACTTTAACACACCACTGACAGTCATAGACAGATCATCAAGGTAGAAAATTAACAATGATATTCAGGATCTGAACCCAACATTCCACCAAATGAGTCTGATAGACATCTACAGAACTCTCCATCCAAAAACAACAGAATATACATTCTTCTCATCTCCACATGGCACATGCTCTAAAATTGACCACATAATGCCTTTCTTTTCAGTGGTCCATATGTAAGTCTTTTGAAAGTGGCAGCATCTCTACTGCTTATGCTTGTTGCAAGGAACTCTACTGAATACAAGGAACTTTACTAATCTCTAATGCTTGTGAGTAGATTCTGAACTCATCATTTAGAAAGCTAAACTGGGGGCTTTCTTCCCAGAGCAAAGACATAAAACAAACCTCAATTGAGCGTGGGACAGGGAGTCATATGCTGTAAATTTCTTGGACAGTTATTATTCTATGGACCAATTACCGTTCCCTTGTATCTCTAATTTTGGGATTATTTCTGGATTAAAACACACAAAAAAATCAGACTGTAAAAAGTCATCATTTCTACCAGTGTGAGAATATGTATTCCTCACCTTTACTGGGATTCACTGCCAGTATATATACAAATGACTTATACACACACATACACACACGCACATACACACACACGTGTGTGTGTGTAGGTATGTCTGTAATAGGTATTTATATGTTTGCCTGTCTTTCTATTAGAATTGAGATACAGCAAAATGCACAGAAATTAAGCATTCAATTTAGTAAGTTTTCACAAATGTACATATTTAATCAATATCTCAATCAACGCAAAAACCATTGTTTCACCTCTGAAGATAATTTTTAATCTTTTGCAAATTATTGAGACTTATTTAATGGCCGAGACTACATAGTCCTTCATAAACGTTCCATGTAAATTTGATAAAAATATTTTCATGAAATTTTTTGTGTAGTGTTCTAAAACTTGAAATTAGACTACATTAGTTGATAGTATTATTAGAATCTTCCAAATCCTTACTAATTTTTATTTGTTCATCTATTGTTTATTTTGAGCCGATGATTAAAATCTTCAACTATGACTGAAAGTCTTTCTATTTTTCTGTTTAGTTCTGTCTGTTTTTACTTCGTGCATTTTGACACTCTGTTATCAGTTGTATAAACATTGAGAATTATAATGCATTGCTAATGAGCTTAACCTTTTATCATTCCATCTCTGATATTTCAGCTTATTTTGAATCCTACTTTCTCTGGTATTAGCCAGCTACATCAGTTTTACTTCCTTTCATTTTCAACCAATTTTATGACTCTGTCTCAAAAAAAAATGCATTCATTGTACAGAGCATATAGTTTTGTCCTTTTTAAATCCAGTCTCAGAATTGCTAGCTCTTAATTTGAGTGCGTTATGGGTTGAATTGTCTGCCAAAAAAAACATATGTTGAAGTCCTTACCCCAGTAATTAAGGATGCGACCTTATTTAAAGATAGGATCTTTATAGATGTAATCAAGTCAAAATGGGATCATTAGAGTGGCCTCTAATCCAATGTGATTGGTGGCCTTATGAAAGGGGGAAATTTGGACACAAAAATGCCACCAGAAAGCACAACATATGAACATGAAGAAAGCCATCTAAAAGCCACGGAGAGATGTCTAGAACAGATTCTTCTGCACAGCCTTTATAAGGAACCCGTACCTTGAATTCAGACTTCTAGCCTTCAGGACTTGAGATAATACATTTTTGTTGCTTGAGGCACCTAGTTTATGGTACTTTGTTATATAACCCTAGGAAACTAATATAAATGTTCAATCCATTTACATTTAATCAGTGATGTCAGTGTTGTTAAATCTACCATGTTACTATTTGCCTACTATTTTCTTATTTGGGTGATGTTCTCTTCCCTTGGTTGTTGATATTTCTTTCTTCACCAGTTCAGTGTTACCTTCCTTAGAGTAAATGGATATTTTTCAATATTTCATTTTAATTATGCTATTGGCTTTATACCCTTCATACATGTATTCCTGTTGATTTGATGTTCTTGGATCTCTGCACTGAAATTTTTCATCAAAATTTGAAAACACTGGCAATTATTTCTTCAAATATATTTTTTCTTTCCCATTTTCTGACTCATCCTTTTGAGACTTCATTTGTGTATAGGTTTGATGGCTTGATATCCCATGTCATTCAATCTCTTATTTTAATCATTTTCCTCTTTTGTTTGAGATTAGATAAATTCAAAAATGGTTTTCAAGGTTATTTGTCTGCTTTTCAGATGGCTGAAATCTGAGAGTATACCCTGCCAGTGACTCTTTCATTGTATATTTTGCACTTGTTACTTCAACAATGTTCATTACTGAAAATTTCCTTTTTTGTTCTATCATTGTGACAATATCTCCATAGTCTAAGGACATATTCATAATATATATCTGTTCATTTCAATGCCTGGGTCATTATCATGTATGTTCTATTGACTGCTTTTTTCCCCTTGATTATTTATTAAATTTTCCTGCTTCTTTGCATAACTTGTATTTTTGACTAATACACCGTAGAGAATCTAGATGTTGTCTTCTTGTAAAGGGGCCTAAGATAGTCCTTTGAAAGCTGTTAAGTGGCTTCCAGATCCTTTTGATCTGCCATGCCTGGTTTCATTATTTGTTAAGGAAAATCTCTTTCATTTTTGTTCTTAAATATAGGACATAGTCTTTACTGAAAGAAATAGTCCTTGTTCTTAATGCCTGGAATATTCAGTAAAATATCTTCCCTGTGGCTAGTCAGTAACCCAAACATCTCCTTGTCCTGTTACTACTGATATCTTATTCCCACAGTATCTGCTTTCAGCAGGTCTTGCAGATGTTAACCCTGCTCAGGTATAGAGCAGCTTTTGACGAAATTGGTGCCAAACACTTATTCTGGCTTCTGTAGGCCTACCCCATGCCTCTTTTTCCTTTCCTATACAAATTTCAGCCGCTTCAGCAGCTCTCAGATAACAATCACTTAAGCAACTTTAAGCTATTTACAAATATCGATAGATAGATAGATAGATAGATAGATAGATAGAGAGATGATATAGATAGAGATTTAATTCTAATTTTAGATTCAGGGGGTATATGTGCAGGTTTGTTACAAAGTTATATTGCTTGCTGCTACTGTTTGGGCTTCCACTGATCCTGTCACCCAGGTAGTGAACTGAATACCTAACAGGAAGTTCCTTGGCTCTTGTCCCTCTACCCCTACCTCTTTTTGGAACCTAATTAAATTAAGAGCTTCTGCATAGCAAAAGAAATTATCAACAAATAAGCAGACAACCTACAAAATGAGAGCATTAAGCTTTAATCTCTTCCTCTAAACTCGTTATTTTTAGAGTCTGCCTCCTTGTTTAATGGGAGAAAAAGTGCCCCTAGTCACATTCTCTGGTTAAATGTGGTGCTTACCTCACGGCTTTCTTTTCTCTTGAGTATGAAAAACTTGTACTTCTTGTTTGATGCATAAAACCTGTTTCCTTATATATGTTGCCCAGTCTTATCATTGTTTATAGTGAAAAGGCAAGTCCCTCCAATAATTCTATTACGGCCAAAGACTAAAGTGCCTCTGATATGACTTATGTCCTTCAGAAATTGCTTATTCTTTAGTCTGTTGGTAGAATTCTTCTCAACTTTCCATAGTTATTTTAATAAGTACTATATTTTCCTATTTCAATGGCAATTTGGAATAAAGGAGAAATAAATGTATTTGTTTGGTCCATCTTTGTGAATTCAAACTGTTAAGTCATTACTTTTCACGTCCACTACACATATTACTGCACAGTAATTCCTTGTTTACACCTATAATCTTCCTCTCCTGTTTTCCTAGTTTCTATTCAAGTATTTGGGGTAACTGATATTTCTTAAAACAATATGTATTCTTGGAAAGAGATGTTTCTAGAATCCCCTTCTTAGGTGACTTATTAGGAAAAATTATAAGAAGAATGAGAATAGAGAAGAAAAGTAATTGAAGACATCTACTTCAACTCTAAATCCCCATAGGAGAAAAATGGCTAGCACTTATTTAAATGCCCTTCTTAGGTGACTTATTAGGAAAAATTATAAGAATAAGAATGAGGATAGAGAAAAGTAATTGAAGATACCCACTTCAACTCTAAATCCCCACAGGAGAAAAATGGCTGGCGCTTATTTAAACTCATCTAGGGTTTAGTTTTGCTGATGTTGTTTTTCCAATAATAATGTTTCAATTATTATAACAGCAATTTCAGTGAAATATGGTACTTACCAGCTAAGTTTTACACAAGGAAGCACTTTCCTAAACACTTCCCCATCCTTCTTAAAAGTTTGAATCCAAATCTTTTGTACTCCAGGGCTTATTTTGTTTTTCCTGCAGCATTCTGCCTTTCTAGAATTAGCACTAGTTACCCTCAGGAAAAACAAATACATGGACCCATAAAATAATCTTTGGAAGTCTTTCTTCTCCTGCTAGTTACCAAATTATAATCTTCTTATTGTAAAAATAAAATAAAATAAAAAATAAAAAGAACTATTTTACTCTAATAAGTTTCCCATTAAGCTAAGCCTGCTTTTGTTGTATTAGAGATTAACATATGTAGACAGTGTTCTTTTTGACTGGAAATGGGGATTAGTTATGGTTCAAGTAATGCATAAACAAGATGTATTTTTAAAAATACATTATATTTATGCATTATATTTAAGCAGCCATTTGTAAAAAGCTGAAACTTATTAGAAAGTGAATTCTTCATAATCATGTTTGTATTTTCAATGTTTAGGATTATTTGTTAGCTTAGGTATAGACTAGACTATTTTTCTAAACAAACAGGAATAAGAAATATAGGTAGTAAAATTTACATGACCTGGTAAAATTTAAAATATCCATTCTGACTAACAGGCAGTGATGAGAACAATAAATAAAATATATCTTGGTTTAAATTCTAAGTAAATATATTTGACAATAGAAATATAAACATACTCATAGGAGTGAATTGCTTCTAATTCTGGCCTTTAGCTAAATAAGCACTTAATGCTAGTAAGAAAAATACATTATTTCATAAAGATAACAACTTCTTTCAGAAATAGTAATTATATTTTTAAAGAGTTTGGGGAAAATAGAAGTGTATACTCTAATCTTATAGCAAAGTTTCTGCTAAGTTTTCGTGATGCCAATGTTTTCATTATGAATCATTTCACTGTCAAACAAAATGTACGCTATTGATTAAACACAGGCAAAAAGAGAGGGGAAAAAGGGTATATTAAAAAAAGACCTTTGGTTATTCCGGCTGCCACCAATTGCTTTCTTGTTTCAGCTGAATTTTGAAGTAGCTAATCATATTTTGGCATTTTCTTGTCATCAAAGCATTTCATGAAATTATCCCATTACAATGTTTTTCTCAGAGGCAAAATTAACATGGTTGACAGTTTAATTGACATATTTCTTTTTCGTTGTGTGCCTTTGCCAATTAAACAAATTGCACCCTATTTTGATGTTCATTTTGTTAATTATTTGTAAAACTGTAGACTCTGATTTTTTTTTTTTTAATTTTCAAGTGTCAGTTTCTTGGTCGGGAATGAAAATAGTGCCAACCTGTGATACCTTCACTCTAATTTTACTTTCTGAGGAAGTTTTCTGTAATAGTTACTTGGTGATAATTATTAATACTGGTGAGTTTTAAAAATTTTGCTTTCAGCAATTTTCCATTTTTTTCAGCATACTTATATCACAATGAGGCAACCAAATATGAATCCTGAGAATGAAGATGGAAAATGAATATTTTAATCCAATATCGAGTTGTTCTTTCAACATTTTTAGTTTTAGTTTTAACTGAAAATATAAAGTTACATAATTGTGTGAGGAATAATTTTTGCAGAGAAATTTTTAAAAATTCACAAAAGGAAAAAGAAACCTTTACCATGAGTCTATAACATTGAAAGACTGTGTTTAAGTGATTTTAATAAAGCCAAACCAACACTTTCAGCAGGAACTAAATGGCAGCATCTGATTTCACGCTGATACATATGTATTAGTGTGGTGCTCACTTTTACCCTTCATTTTACCTTGGGTCTTGCCATTTTCTTTCTATTTTTACGTTTTTTTTTTTTTTTTTCTTTTGGAAGAGGTAATTTTTAGGGAGAAAAAAACACTTTTTCCTCATAGGTCGATTTAAAATGTTGGCCTTACCTTAATCTCCTCTCTCAAACTCAATCCACTATGTAATGGGTCAACATACTTTTCTGTGAAGGACCAGATAGTAAATATTTTAGTCTTTGCAGGCCATATGGTCTCTGTTGCCAGCTCTTCCATTGTGGTGTGAAAGCAGCCATAGACAACACAGAAATGAATAAGTGTAACTGTTCCAATAAAAACAGATGATATGTTGAATTTAGCTCACAGAGTTTAGCTTGCTGCCCCTGCAGGAGGCCTTTGGAGTAAAAGCTTCCTGAGAGGAGGAATTTTTGTCTTTTTTGCTCAAGTTCTAGCTCCAGTACCTAAAATAGTGCCTGTCACGTAGGTATTGATGAATATTTGAACCTGTTGAACATACACCTAAAATAAAACATTTGGCAAGATACAGTACTACACAATTTGGAAAACACTTGGCTCCCATAGAAATCAAAGCCTTCCTGAGTAATTAATTATTTGGCCTGATGATGAATTACTGTGCCTGAGATGATAGAGCTAATTTATTTTTCAATTCACTCAGGGGACACACGTTATTTTCACTGTGAATTTGGTTAAAATGAAAAGATTTCCTGCTCTAAGTCCTGGATAGACCTTTATGTAATAGCATACTCTTCACTCTTTTTGAATCGCATGCAGTTGTCACACTGGATGATTTCCAGACAGAGGTTCCAAGTCTTTCATCATGTTTGGGTTAAAGGCCTCATTAACATACTAGTCCTGCCATTTGAGTCTGTTCTCTTCACGGAATATTTTCACCTGAATCAGTGGGTATAATTCATCAGTGTCTGGTTGCTTCAAGTTATTTTTCTTAATGCTGATGTTAATGCATGCCCATCTTTATGCCTCAACACATTGCACAATGAAAAACAAAAATTATTTTGGAAGACACAGCTGACATCTATATGAAATATTCAGTATCAGTGATTGAACTTCAGCAAGCTCCTGTGGCCAGCAGGGTTTTACGGAGGTGCAACTGCTCTCCCATGATCACTTATCATAAAGCCAGAGACAATTGGGCCAACGTAGCATCTTGCCTGCTTTTGTGTACAAAATATAAATAGAATAGAGCAAACAAGGAAAAATAGTCCCGCAGCTGGAAGGCAACTTTAAAGAAAAATGATGTTCATAGCTATCTTGCCAGTAGCTGGCAAAGCAGTTTTTATAAGACATATTTAATGTTTACAACCACTTGGAGGCTGGGGAAGGAGTAATACTTTGCAAATATGTTTAATGTTGTGAACCACTCTGTGGCCGAGAAGCAACTCCGGCTAAAATATATTTAATGCTTAGAGTCATTTGGTGGTTTCGAAAAAAAAGAAACTTCTTGTTAATTTTTAACATTTATTGCTGATCAGTGGCTGCTAAAGTAACTATCAGTACAGCATGGTTTATGTTTAGGGACACGCTGTGCTGCTACTAACACAATTCATACTCTTCTCTCAAGGCTACACAAAAAGTGTCAATAGCATTACCTTTGCAATTGCACCACTAATAAAAACACAGGAATCAAACAGACGAATAAAATGCTCCCTGCCCACACAGCCATAACATCCTATGGCCCTGAAAATAGTCCTGCCAAACTGCGTGCAGTGGACACTTCACGGCTGGCACAGGAGAGATCACAAGGCCTTGCTCAATTTCATCAAAAGTGTTAAAGCGACTCAGCAGATTGTGAAGCACAAGTGGAAGCTGATAATTGGTGTTTCTTACAAATCAACGGCTTGTCTCCACACATCAAGGTAAAGGCGTCCTCTACACCAAGGAAAATGTAAATTGGGATAGAAGGTCATTATGTTTTTAAATAAACTTGGTTAAATTTGTAGAAAGGGCAATGGTAAATACTGAGCTCACATGTCAGATGGAGAGAAAACTTGAGAAAAGGGAAGAAGATAATAAGCTGGAACCTTTACCATTTAGACTTTCTCTGGCTAGTTTTCTGAGAATGATCATCAAACTCTTATGAGGACCCTTTCCAATGTATTGACTGCACTTCCCCAGGGATTGTGGCAAATGGTAAATATACATTTTCTCCTTGCTACTTGCAATAACCCTCTCATAAAGTGTTACTATTATTCACTTGCAGGTGAGAAAATCAATGTAAAAGAGGAGAAATAACCCACACAACTACATACAACTAGGAAATGATAGTTGGATCTGAACAAAAGGATATGCACTCTTAACAAGTTCAACATCCAAGTACTATTGCAAGTACAAGCTGTATTTCATGGAAAAAGAACAGAATAACTCAAAAGGCAGAACGAAGAGCCTAGAGGTCAGAGATGAGAGGCATGAATAATTATTCACAGGCGTTGAATATAATCAAATGACTTGCAACATTTACCACTGGGATTTTAAAATGTGGTGGACCAATCATCTTTTAGTCTGTGCATTTTCCCATTTTTTTCAACAGGAATGTCTAGAGATATTATTCCTGTTTTGCCACTGTATTTTTGGTGAGTGTGTAGTAAGTAACTGGCCTCTTTAGTATCACAAAGCTGGATGAAGAAAATGTGGTACATATACACCATGAGATACTATGCCGCCACAAAAAGGAAATGAGATCATGTCCTTTGCAGGGACGTGGATGAAGCTGGAAGCCATTATCCTTAGCAAAGTAACGCAGGAACAGAAAACCAAACACCACGTGTTGTCTCTTATAAGTGGGAGCTGAACAGTAAGAACACATGGACACAGGGTGGAGAACAATACACACTGAGGCTTGATGGGGGGTGGAGGGTAGGGAGGGGGAGCATTAGAAAAAATAACTAATGCATGCTGGGCTTAATACTTATGTGATGGGTTGATAGGTGCAGCAAACCACCCTGGCACATGTTTATCAATGTAACAAACCTGCACATCCTGCACAGGTACTCCAAAACTAAAAGTAAAAAATCTAAAAGAAAAAAAAAAAAGAATTAAACCCAAAATCACTTCCCCATCTAGACTTGATTTAGATGAAAAGCTCCTGGACTTTGAGCTGATGCTATAGTGGGTTGAAAATTTTGGGGTCCTCAGAAAGGGATGAGAATATATTGCATGACAGAGCAACATGAATCATTGAGAGCCAGAGTATAGACAGTGGTAGGTAGACTGTAGGAGAGCCCTCAGTGATCCCAGCTTTCTTGTATTCGCGTTGCACTTACTTGTAGAATATGGCAGAAGGGATGTGATGTCACTTTCAAGATTAGGTTATAAATAGACTATGGCTTCAATCAGAGGGTTTTCTCTCTGTCTAGCTCTCTTTTGGGTAGTTCATTCTGAGGAAAGCCAGCTGCCACGTTATGATGTAGGCCTGTGAGGTCCACGTAGCAAAGAACATATGGAAGATTTCTACCACCCCCTAACTAAGCCTTTAGATCAGACCGCAACCCCAGCCAACAAGGTAGCTACAAACTCTTGAGAAGCCTTGAGACAGAGGTACTCAATAGAGCCATTCCTATGAGAAACTTAAGTATCTGCTGTTTTACACTGCTAAGGTTTTAGCTAATGTATTATGCCATAATAGATAAGTTATATACAACCTTTATCAAATAATAAAAGTAACCATCATCAGTAATGAGACAAATCAAAAACCATGGCCCACCCAATAGAACATAATGAGGAGAGTACAGAATTGGTTCTGGGATATTTCTGACAAAGATGTATATGCTTCATTCATACATGAGGAAACATCACACATACTCAAGATGGGAGAGCCATTCTAAAAAATAACTAGGCAGAAATCTTCAAAAATATTAAAGTCACGGAAACCAAGAAAAAATATGAACCTGTTTCAGATTAAAGGAAACTAAACAGACCTAACATTTTAATACAATGTTTGATTTTGAACTTGAACTTTTTGTTATATAAGACACTATTGAGACAAGTGCTAATGCTTGAATAGGGCTGAAGGATTAGATTATAATAATACATTAATGCAAATTTCCTGATTTTAAACATTGTAGTTTGATTGCACAAGGCGAATGTCTTTATGTGTGGAAAATAAATAGTCAACATTCTGTCTTCAAGCTTCTGAAAAAACTCTGCTTTTAGGGCATAGATAGAAGTGGATGATAATTCACCTGTTCCTCTGCTACTAATTGAGGGGCTCTCTGTTTCCATGGCTGGCTCAAGGGATAAGAGAATATATCTAGTTTTTTATGTTTCGATTTGTCTCTCTATGGCATTTTTGTGAAAATAAGGAAGTGTGGAGACTTATATATGTTTCTAAGTTATAATAGTTCATTAATGTAAAGTACAGACACAGTCTTCACTTTTCCTTCTTAGACCGTTTAAATATGGCCACGAAACAAGTAGTCTCTGGTTGGCTGGGCACTGTGGCTCATGTCCTTAACACCAGCACTTTGGGAGGCCGAGGCAGGCAAATCACTTGAGTTCAGGAGTTCGAGACCAGCCTGGCCAATGTGGCAAAACCCCATCTCTTCTAAAAATACAAGAATTAGCTGAGTGTGGTGGTGCACACCTGTAATCCCAGTTACTCGAGAAGCTGAGGCAGGAGAATCACTTGAACCTGGAAGGCAGAGGTTGCAGTGCGCCAAGACCATACCACTACACTCCGGCCTGGGCAATAGAGCAAGACTCTTTCTCAAAAAAAAAAAAAAAAAAAAAAAAAAAAAAAAAAAGAAAAAAGAAAATAGTCTCTGGTTAAATAACCTCTGAAAAACTCCACCAAAAATTTCATCTTAGCATTTCTCCCCAAACTTCATGTAAAATAAAATAGAGTTGAGAGAAAAAAAGAAAGGCAAGGGAGTACCTGTTCACTATTTTTATTAAACCAGTGTTCTACTTTATTTTAGGTGTATCTTTTCTTATTTAAATGTCAGCTAAACTTTCTTTTTAAGATATTGAATGAAAGATGCCCATCCTTCAGGTTTTGTTTAAGCAAGAATCCCCATTCTCAAATAATATAATATAAACTTTCCAAATTCTTAAGTAGATCATCTGAGATTGAAAGCTAAGTTTAACTTTCTCAAAGATATTTTAGCCGCATGACACCTAGACAAAATGGTATATTAAATTCTGACTAATTTGGTTCTAAAGCAACTAAGAATCATTCTTACTTTCTTATCCACAGGGGTTATTAAGTTTTCACATTAAAAAAAATCCAACAGTGAATAATACTGCATTGGGGTTACTGTAATTGTTAAGTAAAATAAGAAATACAAATCTTTAGTTAGATCACATGGCACCTGACTACTGCTTAGAAAATGGTAAGAATTACTACATAAATCATGAGTCACTATTGACATCTACTATATCATATCATAGGTTAGATATCTAATTATAAATAGTCAAATCAGCTGACTCAAGGTGGCATAGCTCAAGCAGGGGAAGATAATACAAGTTGAGTATGGATTTAACACTCTAAACCTGTCAGCATTGTAGGAAAAGTAACTTAAAACTGCACACCCCACTTATGCATAATCATCAGATATTAAAGAGGGTACATTCCTATAATTTATTGTTGCTCTAGTGATCTTAAAGAATTAAGTCCACATTCATAAAGTCCAAACTTGTCTCCAAGGATTTGCTTTGACTTTGGGAGTATCTGGATCATTAAGTAATTTCCGGAGGTCAGAGTAAAAGCTTTTTATCTCTAAATATTACTTCCCTGGAATATTAGATGTAACAGAAGTCAGTAACGGAGTGATCTTTCTCTTAAACAATTCATAGATTCACTGGAATTTTCTTCAACTTTAGGAAAATTAAATATATTCCACAGTGCTGTAAGTCTTAAATATTGATTTTCCTCTGAAATCTTGACTCATCCTACCCACCACCATTCTCCCTTTGTACAATATGTTCTTTGTAATGTTCACTTTACACAAGTGAAAATTAGTAATATTAGTAAATTTTCATTGCAGGTTTATTTGTTCATATTTCTGGATATATAATCCATTACTGTTAAACTTCATATCAATGTTCCGATATTTCTTCATCTTATGTTTTATGTTACAAAACAGGTTATTTCACTATATGTATTTTTAATTGATTAATTCTTCCCTTTTTTTGGAAATGAAACAGAAGCACTCTCAATTATTGGGACAGAAAAGTTATTTCATAGGGAATACTTCAAACACTGATATCTACAACAGGCAGTAAGATTCGTCACAACAATTGGTATACTGTCAATATACCATACAAAGTTCCATCTGGTCTTGATTAAAAATTATTTTAGTATTCTCAGGAAAATGATACAGAGGGAGAATTGCCTCGATTATATGAGAGAAAAAAAAGTATAGAAAAACATAATGTTTTCTTAGATTATTACAGCAGTGAACTATTTCCACCTGGTAAGAAGGGTGCACTTGAGAATGGGGTTCGAGTACTCTAGGAACATAGATGTAAGTTCTGGATGCACAGTAGTTGTTGCTTAGTTGTAAGTTGGAAATTTCAAGGCAGAAACAGCAGATACCACAACTATAATTGGGTCTCCTTGTTTTTTGTTTTATGTGTATATGTGAGATTATGGGGAAAGACAAAAGTAATGCATAGAGGTTTATTTTTTAACATTCAATTCATAAGCAGTGTTTATACCTCTTTGTACTTACTTGAAAAGTGTATATTATGTAAATTTAGTATAAAAACACTTGGACTAATTCATACCATGTGGTAAAATTTCACATTCAAAAGAAATACCCTTCTGTTATTAAAAATAAAAAAAAAGGAGCCAGGAGGGTGGCTCATGACTGTAATCCCAGTGCTCTGGGAAGCCAAGGTGGAGGGATCATTTGAGGCCAGGACTACTTGAGAACAGCCTGGGCAACATAGCTAGATCCCTTCTCTACAAAAAGTAAAAAAAAAAAAAAAAAAATAGCTAGGCAGAGTGGCACATGACTGGCTATTAAGGAGGCTCAGGTGGAGGGATCTCTTCAGCCCAGGAATTTAAGGCTTCAGTGAGCTAAGACTGGGCCATTGCACTCCAGCCAGGGCAACAGACCAAGACCCAGTCTCAAAATAAATAAATAAAAATGAAAGAAAGCAGTGCACTGAAAATCAATTTAAGTATTTACTGGAGTTGTCTTGAAGGCCCAATGGGAAATTTCAGTAAGGGCACATGAGAAAACACTTTAAGAACCTATTCTTCCAAAGATCTTTCCAGTATCTTATGACAACACAGTAAATTATATCCCACTCCAACTGCAAAAGCTGAAACTACTCTGCTTTCTCACTTACCTACACTTTTGACTTTCCAAATATATTTCTCTCTTTGGATATGATCTGCAAACTCCTTACACGAAGGCTCCAACTCTGCAGCCCTAGTTATTATAGTTGGCACAAGAAAAATCCTAATTGTTTTATCCAAGGAGACGGAATTTTCCAATACTGTAGAGGCATGTGTGTGTGTTTGCTTTAAGGAAGCTGTTTTGGTACTAAAAAGTCACTGAGGGTCATAAATTCATGTTAACACATCCAGTGTACATGAAGTAGGCACCGAGTTAAACTATTTGTCTACTATATAGCATGTCATCTTAAAAGCCTTATTTTTTCCTCAAAATATTAACTTTATTTTTCTCCCTGTAAAATCAAGACACCGTTAAAATGTAGCCTCCCTCATTTTCTGGGAATACTTTCTAACAAGATATGCTTCTTTCCAATTGGACTTCTAAATTTCTAGCAATAATAACAGTGCATAAAACAGGCAACCCCAAAAGTGTAGCAGGTACTGAATAACAGATTTGCAGCCTTGGGTATCCACATTAAAATTTGAAATCTAAGTGAATTACTTCAAGCTGATTTCTTAGGTCAAGGAGAGATTATGGTCCTTAAATGCCTGATAAGGTCACATACACAATTTCAAGTGCATTATAGTAAATCCATGTGACAGCTCCTACAGCTACTAACCTGCTTCTGCCCTCAGGGTAGCGTGCACAATCTTCATCACAAGTCCTGGGTGGTGGTAGGAGCAGTAGAAACCCCCTGGGTCATGTCAGATTTAGAAAATATAAGCAATGGCTCATACACGAATTTTAAGTTGTAACCTACATGTGATAAGTTGCTTTATCTTCCAAATGTAATAAAAACCAGAAGTTACTTTGAAATAAATTGAAGGATTAGCAGTGGTGACTGAGGAATAAAAATTATAATTTAAAATTGTCCTTAAAGCTGGAATTCTTAACTTACTGACCTTATATCCTACATATTATAGGACTTTGTAAATTTAGGCTGATATGGAAATGTATATTTATATCAAATTTAAATTTTTAGAATGATGGTGCTACTATATTCTAATTGTTAATTTGATAATTGTAATTGTAATTTGTTAATTTGTTCTAATAATGTTTTCATGACATTATTCATTTGCTGCTTGGCTTGATGGCACAACAAGTATGGGTTATTTACCCTGAAAAGGAAACAGTATTACCCTTCCAGAATCTCTATTTACAGCTACAAAAGATGCATCACACCTGTTTCCGGACCACTTCCAGATCAGATGTGACACATGCTTTAGATAATTTACTTTGATCTAGGAATTACTGTCTGGCATTTTGTGGTGTAGGGTAGGTGTCTCCAGCACTATATAGGTGTCTGGAATTGAGATAACAATCAATTTCAATACAAAATACATTTTTTGCTTAAAGCATGCAAGGATTCTATGAATTCAGGTAAATTCACAGGGTGGAAAACAGGAACTAATGTTATATATTCCTGTACTTATCTTCATAATGAAGCAGAAAGAAAAACAAAAAAGTTACAAAAATAAATGAAAAGAACTGTATTTTCTAGAATTGAAAAATATTCTTTTAGATGATAGATAAGATGTTTACATCAACCTGCAAAAAGTCAATGTTGAAGAGGTCTCATTGTATCTCACAGAATTTTGATTTGCCTACTCACCCACAGGAGACATTTCTGGAACAGTAGCAACATAAGGTCCATCCAAAAACTTTGGCTCATTATCATTAATATCCTGCACTTTGATGATGAATTCTGATTCAGGCTCCAGGGGCTTTCTGGTTTCTATGTCCACAGCCTGAGCACGAAGAGTGTAGAAAGGTTTCTCTTCTCTATCTAGGCTCCTTATTGCATGAATGTCCCCTGTGGTTTCATCAATGGTAAAAACGGTGCCAGCGCCATCTCCTGAGAGGGTGTATTTCACAGTGCCCTCTCCCTTGTCTAAGTCGGAATGGAGCTTTAGGGAAGAGAAGGAGAGAGAGAGGAAGAGAAAGAGAAGGACAAAGAAAGAACACCATTAAAAGGATGTGCCAAATTAAAAAGTCATAATTTGCAATACAATTCCTTTAATCAAAAATGTTAAATAAAAATCTTATGGTTCTGTTTTCTCGTTTTTTATTTCTCCAACTTCTTTTTATAAAAATTTCAACACAAAAAGTTGAAAACTGTGCGATGAACGCATATATACCTATACATCCAAACATTCCTCCATTCGTCTATTAATCTGCTTGCCTTATCAGATAGATCTCATATCTATTCTTCTGTTCATCCTTCTCTTAACCCATTTTTTTTTGAGGTGTTACGAAGATCAGAACAAAAGTACAACCTCAGATATAGCAACAGGCAAAAAAACCAACAAATTTTGAAAATTTGTATTTAGTTCTTCTGTATCCCTTTGGGATAACATTTTCATAAAATGAAATGCACAAAACTTCAGTGTACTTATTGTTTCATTTTAAATAAACATTGCAATAAAAATAAATTAGCTCATAAACACCACAAAATAAACTTTCCAAGTGTTCTGAAGATGAAATCAATGACCTGAATCCAGTGGGAGATAGTGCAAAGGAACTCAGAAAACACTAAGCATTTTCATTTGTAAAGAAGGGAAAAATCTGGCAAATCAAGAGGTTTTCAGTGATATAGGGCAGAGCATCTCATTTTAACAGGCTGAGTTTGAATGAGTTTACCACTATGATTGGTAGAATCACTGATTATCCTTTCAGATTCACAAATAGCTTGTTCCAATTCATTCTATATATAGAATATTTATGTTGAGTAATATGGGAAAGCATTGAAATTCTACTAATTTATTTTAAAATTCAACACATGTATGGTACATTATGTTATAGTATGGAATAAGATACACATGAATAAGCGATAAGGAAGAGAACTAAAGAGTAGAGAGAATTATCAGTGTAATGCCGTAAGGCAGTGTTGTTCAAACTGGAGACCAAGAATAAATGAAAAATGGACACAGTCTTAAACGTATATAAATTACGTGTAAATAAATAAATATATACATAAAATATTACATAAAATAAAATAGTGCATCATATATAATTTTCTAGTAGTATATATTTGTATAAATATATTCTTATACATAATTATATATACATATATACATAACATAGTCTTATAAATAATATTTACATTAATTTTTATGCAGATGTTGATTTAAATGTTTTAAACTATTCTTGCTCATTTGGGTATAGCCATTTGATTTCAGTATCCAAATTTTTACATGTAACAGCTTTTTCCAGACAACAGATCACCCAAAAGAAAAATAAACTTTTGCAGCATTTCTAACCATTTGGGCTATGCCTTAAAAATCTGCATATGAGCACTGCTCTTTGCAAATCATTGCTTAAGAATGAGTTCTGTTTTCTTAACATTTCAACACACACACAAAAACTCTGAAAATATTTTAAATTATATAAATATCCTGTTGCAAATAAGCTTCCTGTGTATTAGTATGAGTAATTAAAAGCACAAATATAGCCCAAATAAATACAAGTTCAACTGTAGCTACATCTTTGCTCTTAAGCTCAAGAGCGTGCTTTAAGTTCAATAAAATAATATCATTGTTCATATTAATGTTATTAAGGTAAACTTATTCATTTTGTGACCCTGCATTTCCTTCAATATTTGTTCTAAAAGTGTTTTGTATGAGAGTATAAGCAAAACCATAAAAACCTGGTTGGGTAATATAATAAAAATAATGTGGCAACAATAAGAGGGAACAAGATTTTGATGTTTCTTTAAAAGTTTCTGTATATTTTACTTAAGTATAAAGAAAATTGTTATGAATGATAGGAGGAAGGATTTTTGTCCACCTATTAAAAAAAACTGCTGTGAAGCATAGGAAGTTTCAAGCATAAAATCAAGCAGTAGATAAATGTTCTTTGAACTTATGAATTTCAAATTATAAATTTCAACCATGCTATTAAAGATATTCAACACAGTGGGTATTCCTTTTGCTTTCAAATTTATCTAAATATATGAGACAGGCAAAAGCTCAATGCAAAAGGCATGACTTTATAAAATGGATCCATTTTGCCAACAGCTCAAAGAATATATGGTAATATTGTGGGAACTGAGTGAAAATTCAGAGTAGGTTTTGAAATGTGATACAAGTAGAATTTTAAAAAGAAAAAAGAAAAACAAAACAAAAATTTCTGTATTTAGCTAAAATCATAACTGTTTCCTTTGCAAACTGACATAAAAATGAAGAAGCAAAATGTGTCTTTAGTTATATCCAAGTTCCAAATTCAAGTTAATTACTGCTGCTCCTCACTCTTCTACCTTTTCCTTCAAATTTAAAGATGGGCTTTGCAGAGATTAAAGCTTCAGAAAAAAATATGGGAAAATACGTTAAAAGGTTGACCTGTAAATGAAGTGGATGACTATAAAACTCGTGAGAGAATTAGACTTTTTGTAGCAGTTTATTACATGATAATACCTTAAAGGAGATCACATTCAGTGATCTGCGTTGACAGGTAATATTTAAAATTAAGTGTTAATGCTGATTAATTAGGCAGATGGGTGGTAGCCTAAAGTATAGACATTTTTCCAATATTAATTTTGATATTAAATAAATGACATTGGCTCTTGTTGGATATTATAAAATTTCCTTTACTTCAACTGTAAAATAATTTCAACAGTGAAAGGTATAAAGTAAGATGAAAATTTCCATCATGATCTTACCTAGAGATAACTTCTCTTTTTTTGAGTCGGAGTATCGCTCTCGTTGCCCAGGCTGGAGTGCAGTGGCGTGATCTCGGCTCACTGCAACCTCCACCTCTCGGGTTCAAGCAATTCTCCTGCCTCAGCCTCCAGAGTAGCTGGAACTACAAGGCGCATGCCACCATGCCAGGCTAATTTTTGTAGTTTTGATAGAGACAGGGTTTCACCATATTGGTCAGGCTGGTCTCAAACTCCTTACCTCAAATAATCCGCCCGCCTCAGCCTCCCAAAGGGCTGGGATTATCGGCATGAGCCACTGCGCCCTGCCCTTCTTTGTTATTTTTATATGTTTCAGTTATGTAAATATATAACTGAAAGGGTAAATATATATAAATACATATTTACTGCACATTTATATTGATGTATATTTCTCTGCTTGTATCTATCTATATATATACACACTATATAAATAAATGAGTCAAGATTTTTAAAACAAAATACCATAATTATTTTTCAGTATCATTTGAAATTTTTCAAAATTACTTTTTTAAATTTCTGCATATTCATTCAGTGAAGTTGAATGATCCAATGGGCACTCTGTATTCCTTCATAAACTGTGTGGTGAATGTGCGTGTGTGTATGTATGTATACGCACGTGTTTATGTGTTTTCTGGGGTTTATTTCCTTAAAATAAAAAGGCAACTGTCAAGACTAAAGCTATAATAATTTTTATGAATCTTAGAAAATGTTGAATTTTTAGTGATTCCGGAAATTGATCTCTATCGATGAAACTGCTTTCTCAAATATGTCAGCAATGGGATTCAGGCTTTGCTTACAATGTGAAGGAAGTTCTTAGCCTCATTTGCACAAAGAAGGAAGGAGGGCTACAGATAAAAAGAACTCATAGTCTTTTCCATATTTTTGGGTCATGTTCACTGTAAAAAAAATCACATGATGCCATTTTTACACAGCCTTTTTAATCTACACATACGGCAAGCTAATAATTCCACAAAAATAATTTCTTTCCTTTGTAGCCATTTAAAACTAACAGCTAGAAATATTTCTTCTTCCAATTATTAAAAATAAGCTGTTTCTGAGTCGGTGCTGACTACATTTACTGATTGAAGCAGCCAACTCCAAATATATCATCTTTTAGTATTGACACTTAAAATAAAATTTCTCCCCAGAAAAAGAGTTCTATAAATGATGGCTGTAGAAATAGGCACTGTCCAGGCAGTTGTTTTGTGGAAGTAGTGTTGTTATTTTCTGGTGTTTTCCAAGTCATCTCAGATGGTGCGTGAAAATGAGATGCCAAAGAAGGCTTAAAAAAGATACCCTGCTCCAGCTTCAGAATGTAAGCAAATCTTTCATTCCAGCGCTTAAAAGTTTTGAGAAAGCTAATCTAAAGTTAAATGTTTACTAGCATCTCTCTGATTATATTTTAGAAACTACTGCACAAAAATAAAACAAATTTCTTATTTTCTCTGGGTTGAAAAGTGCACATAAAATGGAAAATGCTTTTTATACCACTATTTCCAGCAGGGATTTTATTTTCATTTGTCATTTGCCAGCCTGGGGTATGTTGGGAGAAGGAACAATTGATTTTTGAAAAGGTGGATTTGTGTGAAAACCAAAAGTTGCGTTCAACAAATACTACTACTAACCCACATGTGGATATATGTGTTTTTTACATGAGTAAAAAAAAAAAAATGGTATTTCTAGTTCTAGATCCCTGAGGAATCGCCACACTGACTTCCACAATGGTTGAACTAGTTTACAGTCCCACCAACAGTGTAAAAGTGTTCCTATTTCTCCACATCCTCTCCAGCACCTGTTGTTTCCTGACTTTTTAATGATTGCCATTCTAACTGGTGTGAGATGGTATCTCATAGTGGTTTTGATTTGCATTTCTCTGATGGCCAGTGATGATGAGCATTTTTTCATGTATTTTTTGGCTGCATAAATGTCTTCTTTTGAGAAGTGTCTGTTCATGTCCTTCGCCCACTTCATGTACCCTAAAACTTAAAGTATAATAAAAAAAAAAAACATACATACATATATGTATGGCATATATATATATATATGCTATAGAAATGCCATCAAGTTACCAGTTTACTTCTAAATGTAACTGCTTAATATAAAATATGCATCTTTTTGTAGTACCTAATTCTTGCAATTCAGTATATTTCCTGGCGAGAGGTAGAGATGAACAACCCTGGACAGTTACCACATATGGCTCTTATGGAGGTAATGAGGATGGTTGTGATGAGAAGGGTAAAAAATAAAAAAGTTATTACAAAACATTTTTTAAGGAATTTTCCAAAAAATGATTTTAATATTCTCTTTGCTTATGGAATGATATTTAAAACCATGATTTCTGTGTCCTTTAAAATGACTTCTGATTTGTGAATTGTTCTCTGTGCTCCAAACTTCTTTTATTTGTCCCTGTGTTTATGCTCATAACCATTCATTTCCCTCTTTTCCCACTGACTTAGCCTCTGGGGTTGTAATGAACTTACTCGTTTATTTTTGTGTATGTGTGGGGTTTTGTCTTTTGTTTTCTGAGAATAAAGTATATGAGATCTTGGAAAAAAATCAGAAAACGGGGAAAATCATAAATTCATTACCAAAATAATTTCTGATTTGGTATTATAGCTCTGCAAATTACTTCACTAATTGTGTTCATAGGTACTATGGTACACTGTACACTGTTTTGTAACTTGCTTTTTAGATGGATTATATCATATTTTTCTGTATCAATAAATATGAATTTATTACATCAGTTTAAACTGATCAAAAACATTTTAATCAAAGTAATACAATTAAATTGCTAAATATCATAGGGAATCGAAGAGTTTATAATCCTAAACCATACTCTTTCTTTTCCTAGCCAGCTGGGGACATTTTTAATTGTTTCTATTTTCATTCTTTCTGTTTCAGTTCTTATAAAAATACATATATAAAATTGGCTAAATGATTAAATGTTATAGTAGTTCTTTAATTATAAATTCGAATAATATTTGTTGACTTCCAAACTGCATACCCCTTGCCTTGTCCAAGTAAAACTGTACCACTGTTTATTCTCTGTGTTGTCAATAAAACACTACGTGATATCTGAGTGTCTTTGTTTCTAAATTTCAGTTCACTCAGAATGTATCCTTTTCTTCTTGCCTCCAATATTTTATTATGAAATTTTCAAATTCATAATAAAAGTATATAGTATTCATCTGTATACTTACCTCCTAGTCTATATATTTTTTACATACTGTTTATAATTGTTTTATTATTTTCTACCCATTTGTCTATCTGTTAACCCAGCTTAATTTTTGATGCATTTAAAAGTAGGTTGTAGATACAAATAACCATCACCCTAACACCCTTCAATACAATGTTTACAGTTGTTTTTTTGACATTGGAATGTATCTGTGGTTTCTCTATTTCATAGGATCATAGCATTAACACCTTTACGCTTCCCCTTACATCTCCTTCCGTTTCTTCTCCCCGTCCCCCACCAGCTTCCATCATCTGTATTATACAGAATCTGTCCTAAAAAATTCTGAAGTAGGCCTTAGGTATTTTTTGTTTTTTAAAGGGTCTTGTTCTGTGGCCCAAGCTACAGTGCAGTGGCACAATCTCAGCTCACTGCAGCCCCTGCCTCCTGGGCTCAAGTGATCCTCCTGAATAGCAGGGATTACAGGCACAGACTACCATGCTTAGCTAATTTTTCTATTTTTTTATTTGTAGAGATGAGGTTTCATCATACTACCCAGGCTGGTCTCAAACTTCTGGGCTCAAGCAATCTACCTGCCTATGCCTCTGAATGTGCTGGGATTACAGGTGTGAGACACCCTGTGTGGCCAGGCCTCTTTTTAAAAATAAGCCTGATAGTTAATTTTATATGTCAACTTGACTGAGCCATAAATTGCCCAGAGATTTGGTCAAGCATTATCCTGGGTGTGCCTCTGTGGGTGTTTCTGAATGAGATTAGTATTTAAATCGGTAGGCTGAATAAAATAGATTGCCTTCCCTAATGTGGATGGGCCTCATTCAATAGCTGTGGGAATGAATAGATCAAAAAGCCAAACCCCTCCGTGAGTGACAGAGATCTCTTCCTGCCTGACTGCCTTCAAGCTGAGACACTGGAATTTTTTTTCTGCCTTTTGACTTCAATTAAAACATTGGCTTTTCCTGGGTCTTGAGCCTGCCCGTCTTTAGACTAGAACTAGAAGCTATCCTGGGTCTACAGTTTGCCAACTGCATACCTTTGGACTAGTCAGCCTTTATAATTGTGTGAGCCAATTCCTTATAACAAATCTTTATATATCGATATATAGAGATATATATTGATATATATATACCTATATAGAGAGATATATCTATATAGATATCTATACCTATATAGAGAGATACATCTATATCCATATATAGAGATCCATATATATCCTCTATATATGGATACATCTATATATAGAGAGATCTCTCTAAATATCTCTATATCTATAATCTATATATCTATAACTATATCTACATCTACATCTATAGCTATATCAACATCTAATTTGTTCTTTTTCTTTGAGAACACCTACTGATAAATAAGCCTTCTAAGTTTTGTCTATCAGTTGATGCTAAAACATTAAAAAAAGGAGAACAACTAATACTCTTTTTACACTAATTAGAACAATGTAAACCTTTTTGTTTTATTACCAAATAATTTGTATTTCCTATGTAATTGCTGTAGTTTTATTTTGCATATGGATTTTTTTTCCGTAACATCTTTGTCTGTTAGTGGTTTTATTTATGTATTTTTTTAATATCCTTAGATTCATCCCACTTCTGAGGTCTGACATCAAATCTTTTCACTACATGCCTCTCTTTGGGAGGCTTCTTTCTTGCTAATCCAAACAAGAACATCTGCACAATTGTCAACCTGGAATTTACTTTATTAATCTCCTGGTTTGGAAACACTTTTTCTTGGATGTTATATTTACTTTGGTTTACTATTTTGTTGTCTTGCACTAATTTTATATGATTTCTTAATAATGAGTGTATGTTAGACATTTTACTTGAGTCTTTTCATATCACAGTATACCTTTATTTTACCCTCATATATAATTAATTTTCATGTGGGCATATATTTCCAGATTGGAAATCATTTCTCTTCATACATTTTAAGGAATTTATACATTTGCATCTGAAATTGTATTCATTATCTTCTAGAAACCAAGAGTGGACTTGGTATCCATCTGATTATATTTTCTTTGTTGGTAAAGAGCCTCTTTTTTCCCTTTTTATTTTCATCTTCTCTTTCTCCAGTGTTTATAGTCTTATTTTTATGAATGTAGTCTAATTATTTAGAACACTGTCTCCGAGTATGTGTTTATTTGGGTTTGTGTTTTGAACATTGCCTCCAGGTGCGAGTTTATGTGTGTTTATGTTTCCTATTTGAGATTGGACACTTAGTAAATTTTCTCAATTCGAAAACTATTTTCCTTCAGCACTCAGAAATTTTTATCAATGATTATTTCCACGATTATTTCCTGTCCTTGGTTTTTTGTGTTCTTAACCTAGAATTCAATTGTTTAATGTTAGACCTTACACATCTTCAATGTATCATATATATTTCACTCATATTATTTATTGTCATATCTTTTGGACTATTGTGTGAAAGCAATAAATTTATATTACTTTATTTATTGGTAATGCTCTTCATTTTCAAATTTAATACACACAAATTGTGCATACCTACACACATATACCGCAGATACATTCATTTTCAGGATTTCTTTAAGTGTTCTTTTAAAAATAATCATATTCTTATTTTGTGAACTGTGGGATTTCTTGAAACTTTTTGAAAACTCTAATTAGTCTGTGTTTGTGTGGTTTCTTTAAATTATCTCTTCCTTCAGGATTACTTTTGTGTTTGGAATTTGAGTCTTCGCCATTCATAAGGCGAGCTTTTCTTGAATACCTGATAACTCTGAGTTTCCTGTTCATATTTAAGAATAAATAACCTAATTTGAAGTTTTGAGTTTTTGAGTTGTATTTATTGATCAGAGTTTTGGCCTAGAATGAATAAAAGAATCAATCATTTCTTCTACTTTCAGATATTCGGTTGGGGGTGTTCTAAGCACAATGGTGTCCCAACACTGTCCTAATTCTTTGCAGGTTACCTACAGAATAACGTCTTTTAAAATTATTTCTTTATTGTTTACATTCTGGTCATTAATGCCTATATTTTATGCATTCTCAAGCATATGGGAGAAATTCTGTATATAGAATATTAGTTCATCTCTGTGTTTTTCCTGGCAAATTTTATGCCTTTTCTTTGGAATCACTGCCAAATCTGGGTCTCTTTCAGAGCTGTGCCTTCATTGCTGGAGCCCTCTCAGTGTAAACACTCGCATGTAGCTCCTTTGGGCTTGTTTAAACAGTCACCAATCTTTCACCTATGTGCAATGTTACAGAAATTGGCCATCTTCTCTGATGACCTCTATGCCACTCCCTCCCATCAGAATTACGGGTTGTTATTTTTGTTCCTCTGTTATAAATTACTGATGCTTTCCGAAGAGGAGTTAAAGGTGTTTGGGAGGTACACCATTTCCCTGTACCAAAATCATATTAAGTAAAACTTGCAATCAACAGAAAAAATAGAAGTAATTATATGATGAAAATCTATATTCTCAAAATCTAGATTAAACCATTCTCAACATTTTGTTGTATTTGCTTTACTTTCATATATGGATGATTTGCAAATAATTTACAAACATCATACCAATTCACTACACAATATTTCAGCACCAGTTTTCTGAAAATAAGACCTTTTCCTGCATAACCACATTGTCACAGTTTCAGTTAAGAAAATTAATTAAAATGCCTGTTATCACTTAATAATGGGTCATATTCAATACCCCCACTTCTCTCTCCAAATATCTTTGTAGCATTTTCTTTCTTTGTTTTCTGAACACGAAGCCCCATAAGTTTCAAGCATTGCATTTGGATTAGTGTCTTTACTTTCCTTAATATAGATGGATCACATATTTAAATATTAACAATTTATTTGTCATTATCTTTTGTCATGGAACTAGGTCCCCATTTTGAATTTTTCTGCTGGAATGAGAAACTTCCAGACATGTGGTCTAAATCTTTATTGTTCTATCTGTTTTACTATCGCTCTTCTTCAGTCTCAAAACATATATGGACAAAAGCAATCACATAAAGGTCTGTCCTACTTAATACGGACATCTTTATAAAAGCAGTTACAGAATCTTCTGATAGATCTATACACACATTCAGATGTAAGGGATATGTTTCTTGTACAGGATACTCTCAGTACATTTTGTTATAATAATCACATATAAGTGGTAAGACCCATTACCATTCTTGAAATCTATGATTATAAGTGATGTAGAATGGTTTAGTAGTTAGTGATTGAGATTTAAAGTAATATTGTCACTGATTTGTTTACTTACACACAGGGTTTACTCATTTAAACCAGTCAATATGAGTATAAGAAAATTTTGCGTGAGTTTCTTTGTCTGAAATAATTTTATTATGTACAACACAAACTACTTTTGCTAGATTCTTCCTGGTAAACTTATAAAACACTTAGTGTTTCCTTTTTTGAAGTTGCCTAGTTTCAAGCTAATACTTATTCTGAGCTCAAGAACATCATAGTGGCCATTATATTCACTACAAAGCCATTAGATTATACTTAAGGTATTTATAGATGAAAGAAGATCAGACCCAAAGATGATCTATAACTCTGCCTGAGTAATGTTATGCAAATTGTTCTCTTTTCAAAGCCACCGAATGCCCAAGAATATTTAACATTCTATGCTAGTCTACTCTCCTGAGGTGACTCATTTGTTCTCCCTAGTTTAATTGTTGCTATATGAGCAAGAGGGATACCACTTTACAAGGTTAGGAATTCCCTCTAACAGCCCAATGTGCTTTGAGAACTCCCCTGCCTGAGTAACAGACCCAGAGCTATTTATCATCTGGAAATATTTCACCTTCTATTGAAGAGAGCAGAAATCCATCTCAAAAAGGCCCCCATGCATCCCCAGTGTATGCCAAAGAAGCTCACAGAAGAAAAAAGAATATTTGCAATGCTCAAGAGCAAAAAAGCTTATGTGCTAGGATATATTACACATCCTGTTATAGAAAAAAAATATGTTATTCCCCCAATGCTGTCTTTTATCTTTCTTACTTTGCTTGAATATTGCCTTCATGGCTACATATAAAAGCCATCCTATTTCCTCAGATTGTCATATTTTGCAACTTTAGCTCACTCCAATTATAATCTCTCATTTCAAAGTGTCACAATATGTGAATAAGAACTTCTATAAAAGTTGGAGAGGTCACTGGCTTGGACCCAGGATTTGGGAAGAAAAATATGAGAGAAGGTTAAAATAACTTCTTTCCTACTTTTCCAACATTGTAAAACATATTTCACAAGCTGGGTTTTAGGGAAAAAATTTCCAGACAATAAACCATTCATATCAAATTTTCAGTAATGGAATCTCTATTTTGAATAACAGTAAATTTGATGTATCATTTCAAACAATGTAGTTATTTTTCAGAATACTATATAAATGTATACGATTTAGTCTAGATTTAAAAATAAATGCCAATAATCAGCTATTAATAACAATACATTACTATAGTTACATATCATTTCTTAATTTATTGTTAGCATTTCATTATTTCCAATATTAGCTCTTATCGAATATTATATACTATGTTAAATGCCTTATAAGTTTTATTTAATTTTGACTAACCACTGATATGCTATCATGAAAAATCTAGTAATAAAATCTTTTTAACTGAGTTCAAATAGTCCCAAGTGCAAAATATAATTTTAAAAACTATATGTCCTACACTAATTTATTTGCATATGCACTTAATAATCCCAATAAAGCAGCTGAACCCAAATCTGAACTCGAATGTAAAACTCCATCTAACCTAATTTCTTTCTGTTAGTCTTTATTATCATAGTCACTTCTATTTATGTTTTATTTTCTCCTTTATTTTTTTATTTTAAATACCCTTTTGTTTAATGGTATAAAATGTCTGGCTACATAAAATCAAATCAATTACGATAAGATAAATATAAGTACGATTTCAAAAAGAAAAGCTAAATCTAGCTAAAAATTCTAATTTTTAATACATGCAAAGTATACATGATGTATTAGTAAAATGTAATACATTGGGAGTAAAACTTTAAAAATATTTGATATATTCACATTTCTTATTTGCAGTATAGACAAAATGACCTATGAATCAAGCATTTTGTTCCACAGTCTCTATTGTTAGCTGTATGTCTCAGAAACAGCTTCTTTCTCAAGAGAGAACAAGAGGGATAATGCTGGATCTAAAGGCATCATCTGAAAAAGACAAAGATATCAACAATTGCAACTATTTGGCTTTCTGTCCATCACTGAGACTTTTCATAATCTTTCCTTCATAAATAGGATCTCTTGATCAGAACAGAAAAGTTGAGTCTTAAATTTCCTGTATTTATTTCTGACTGATACTGAGGGAAGTGCAAATTTGGTTGCTATGATTAAACTCCTTGATTGTTCTTAATGGGACTATTTTAATAAGTCAAACATTTTTGCCATCTAAGTATATTGATGAGCGCCACGTTATCTCAAATGTTTACACATACTAGGGAAAAGCATCTGCAGTTTCTGAACTCTTTGTGAATCAGTATCACTTTTTCATGTTACTTCAGAGATCAATATTCAGTGCATTGGTTTTATTTACCATCTTTTCTCCCAGTTGATCTTGTAATCATCAGAAAGGGAAAAAAAATCTCCTTCACAAAGCCCTTTGCGACAAACTTACGTAAATAATAATCTAAGGACAGCTAGAAAAAAAATACACCATACAGGGGAATAGATCCAAAATTGATATCTGCCTCACCTGTATCACCTATTGTATTAGTAACTGCAAAGGTAAATAAATAGCAGAGACTAGAATGTTTCCAAACGTAGTAGTGAAAACTACTCCCCTCCTCCCCCCATATAACACTACAACAGGTTACTTTGGTTACAGGATATGACAATAGCTCTGCAATATCAGAAAAATGCCTGCCTGGCGTTGCGGCTCATGTCTGTAATCTCAGCACTTTGGGAGGCTGAGGTGGGCGGATCACTTGAGGTCAGGAGTTGGAGACCAACCTGGCCAACATGATGAAAACCTCTCTCTACTAAAAATACAAAAATTAGCCAGGTGTGGTGACGGACGCCTGTAGTCCCAGCTACTCGGGAGGCTGAGGCAGGAGAATGGCGTGAACCCAGGAGGCGGAGGTTGCAGTGAGCCAAGATCATTGCACTGCACTCCAGCCTGGGCGACAGAGCGAGACTCCGTCTCAAAAAAAAAAAAAAAAAAAAAAAAAAAAAATGCCTACAGTAGATTAGAAATAAGGAAAAATTGCTTGAATTCCTAATTTTCAGGGTATAAGAAGAAATCTAGGATATCCATGGACATTCCCAGAAACATCAAGGTTTGCTAAAAACAGAAAATTGGAAGTAGAACAAAAAAAGCGGTGGGAAAAGCACGTAAGACATTGAGGCAAGCCATGAGGAGTTTGTCAGTCTAAAGGTTGAATAGAGGACCTTTAAGAAGAGGGAGACAAACATTAAATTTTCAACTTTCTGTAGTTTGATATAATACTTTCCACGTTCTAGGGTTTCATTAAAACTTCACAAGCTTTTGGATTTTTTAACAAATATTAGGGCTGTGCTTCATGCTTGGGTTAATATGGGGTGAATAGAAGGAACAGCTGGGGAAGAAGAGATAAGAGACAGATTCTCTAGTAGAAATTAGGAGAAACGTAAGAATCCTATACATCTGCGTATATTTGAGGAGTCTTTAGAGTTCACTAAAGTTCATGGATTGGACGTTATAGCCATTTTAATGTATTTTCATTGTGACAGGATTGACTTTAGAAGGCTTAAGAATTTTGATGAAGAAAAAAGGGGAAAAAGAAGGCATAATAGAGAGAAAGGAAGGAAAAAAGAAAAGACAAAAGTGTAGTCACAAGATTGTCAACAATAAGAATTGTATAAGAATACATATTCTTCAAGAAATGAAAATAATTAGAACACACATTATGCCTAAATACGTTTTAAGAAATCAAATAAACATGTAGTTTCTAATGGAAGTGCTTCAATGTATTAGTAAATTCTTCCCACAAAGCAGTTTATCTATTTATTGTGAAAGCGATTGAGTTTTGCAGTACCAAGGGATCTTTTGCTTTTAAACCAGTTAATTAGTTTTTATTAGATGCAATGCAATGTTTTGACCAGACTTTTCTCTGTACTTTCGGGTGTGTTTCCCTATTAGCAGGTAAAACATTTATCTCTTGACTAAAAGTAGATGACATCTTTCCCCAACCATGAGTCCTCAGGTTGTTACAGAGGCTGCCTTCCTGACTCACTCTGTACCCCCCATTGCCTCTCCCTGAGTTTAAAAAGGAAATGATTAATTAGTCAAAAGAATATGTTAAAAATGTAACATATTATGTTTAACATAAGTAACTAATGATTAGTCAAAAAGAATATGCTAAAACTTTAACACATTATGTTTAACATAAGTAACTATATTAAAATTTAGAATATATTTATGATTTCCAAATCAATGGTTTGTTTTTGCAAAACCTGCACCAGAATGAAATGACCCTACAAAGTGGAGATAATATAAAATCCTTTTTTTCCACTGAAATTTGTTTTAGATACTACTAATTCTATCAGTGGCTTTCTCTTACCCTTAAATGGATGTTAACTTAGTTGAGAGATGTGTTCAATTCACAATATTTGATAATGGAGCAATATGATACATTTATATCAAATCCCTTTGTGCAATCTTATTCTTTCTCTGGCTGATGTACACTTTTCCACCACCTCCTATTTAATTTGTATCCTTCTTTCTGTCATTTGCTGTGGATTTCTATCAGAGTTGGTCTAACTTTAGAGGTCGAAGTTTTCTTTTCACAGGGATATGAAATTAGACACAATCACACCATATTTAGTGATTTCTGTGTTTTCACCAGATCAAACACAGATCACATGGTCCATGCTCAGTAATGGTTTAATGAACTAATGAATTTATAAAGGAATGAATGCATGCACATATAGCAAGCCCATCTTTAAATTTTGTTGTTGTTGTCGTTTGAATTTTTGTTTGGCATATAGGGTGTATACAACATAAAAAGAGTTAAAATCCATGATCCTGAGTATCAGATATTTGTGGGTTAGAATCCGAAACCCATCACTTATTACATTTGCGTTATTGTGTAAATTACTGAATTTCTTCATACCTCAGAGTCTTCATATGTAAAATGTAGACTATAATATTTATATCATAAATTTGGAGAATACTGTAGAGAATTTGGCTTCACAGTTTGTTTTCCTTCATTTCTCTCCCTTCATATCCAAATAAGCCCAGTATAGCAATATTCCTTTCTATTTATATTAACTTATATAAATGTGCATGAGAAAACTGACTGGATTCAATAAGATTGTAGAAAAAGCTATCAAGCTTCTATATTTTGCCAGGCAACTTTCTAATGGCTTTATGTGTCTAAACCCACTTTAATACTCAGAAAAACACTATGATTACAATCCTTCTATTAGCATTCTCATGTTGTAGATACAGAAATTGAGGGACAGGCAGGCTAACTTGGCTCAAGACACACAAGTAAAAATATTCAGAGCAGAGATTAAACCAGGTCATCTAACCCCATGTGTCTTTGGGACTAGCATTTAAACTGAATCATCTCACTTTTAATTTGATAATACAATGCCATTAACAGAAAAAAAAAAAAACTTTTGAAATATCTTGAGAGAAAAAAACCAAAAAAGCTGAATCTATGTTCAGAGAATTGAATTAGCAATAGATATAAACTACCCAAGTTTTCGTTTTGTGACATCAATTTGAGCAAAGCCAGATTTGTATTACCCTGAATGCATTAATAACAATAGTATCATTGAAAAATACTTTCGACTGCCCATTAGTAATTGTACTAGGTACTAGAAAACACAATTTAGTAATCGCTCCCAGGGAGTCAGTTTTTTGAATAAAATATTTCTCTATGGTTGTGCACATTGTGCCATAATTTGCTTTGAAAGACATAAAATCCATCATATTAAAAAGGTAATAGAGTAACTCCATTTAATAACAGAAATGGTTATTAAAATATCTACATTCTTTCTCACAATGAACTAATAACTACACAGATTTGTGCATGTGTATGAAGATGTTTATATGTGTTTTATGTGAGAGAAAAAAATGAAAAAATGGTATTTTCTTTTGCTCAGACAAGCACAATTTTTGCAAAATAAATACAAAATAAATACAAGGCCAAATATATATATACATTTATATATATATGTTTGTTATATATATAGGTTATATATAATTTGTTAAATATATAACATTTATATATATGTATATAAATCTCAATGCTCTTAACAATGCTCATAAGAACACAATCTGAAATTACAGTGCCTGCTTATTTTCAAGGGTGGTTTGAAGGTGACCTATTTTTTGTAGCATCCATTACTGTGGGGATTGCTTAGTGTGTTAAAGCATGAAGCTGCCTTACCGAAGTCTTTTATTTCCTTTCCTCATTCTATAGTAACTACTTCAAATGGATTTGAATGTGTAATATCACAAATGCAGAAAAAATAAATACAAGAACTTAGCTTGTTTTCTTTGCATTATGAGTCAAGTTTTTTTGTCAAATTTACTGCTAAGAATTAATATCTCATGGTCTTATATCCTGTAATAGTATCATAAATATTATCTTATTTGCATAATAATTTATACATAATATTTATTTTCTGCCCCATAGTGTGAAAATGAGTAATCTTAATCCCAAAGATAAATATTAACTATCCTGTGTAAGAAATGCAGTAAGTTACATCTTGTTTCTAAATACAGGTTAGTGAGAGATCATTTTTTTAAAGCTCTCATTATAAACACATTAAGAAAGGAATCATTCTCAGAGTTTACTTATTTCCCAATAGGTTAATAGGATTCCCAAGAAACTGCCAAAGAGATAATAGTTCCATTTTGACTTTAACTTAAAAGAAAAAAATAAAATAAGAAGGCAAAAATGCAAAAACGAAAAAAATAGATGTCACAGATGCTATAACTTGAACTTTGACTGCTTTTAGCAAGTATATACTATTGAATGCCTGACTGAAATAAATTGATTTCAGGCTGTTGCATTTTTAAAGGTCAGAAAGTTTTTTGTTTTGTTTTTTAAATGAGTTTCAGGATTATGAAAGCAGGTGCTTAAGTAGAGATTGATTGAGGCCTTAAATGTTGAATATTTCTTTTAAAGTTTGGTTGCTTTTCAGAAGCTACTAATTTATTATTATTATTATTAAGGTTCTCCTAATGATTCTTGGAGTCCATGGAATTATGTGTGTGCATACGTGTTCGTAGAACATTTTCTTAAAACTGACACATGAATGTTATTGACCATAGAGGTGCATTATTTCCGAGATTAAAAAAAAATTAGTTTTCTTACTGATCATCCACTGTTTTTTACAATTTTTCCTTCTCCATGTATCGTTGGTTGCTTATTAAGGTAAGTTACAGACAGAACTTATAAACGGAATTTCCAAGACTAACCAGGGTCCAAACATACTTCAGTGTATTATTTTACATCATAAAACTTGATGTATTAGTCCATTTTCACTCTGCTGTAAAGAATTACCTGAGACTGGGTAATTTATAAAGAAAAGAAGTTTAATTGATTCACAATACTGCACGGCTGGGGAGGCCTCAGAAAACTTACAACCTTGGCAGAAGGCGAGGCACATCTTACATGGCGGCAGGAGAGAGAGAGAGATAGCCAGGGGTGAAGTGCCACAATTTAATACCATCAGATCTTATGAGAACTCACTCACTATCAGAACGATGAGGGGGACATCTGCCCTCAGGATCTAATCACCTCCCACTAGGCCCCTCCTCCAACATGTGGATATTACAATTCGAGATGAGATTGGCGGGGGGTGGAGGGTGGACATAGAGCCAAACCATATCACTTTGGCTTACTCAATACTGAACTAAATCAAAATCAAACCTGAATTTTCAATTATGACTGAAATGTAACCTACAGAGTAGTAGGAAGTATTCTACAACCGACTCCTAGATTTCTCTCCCCTGAGTGTCCATATCCTGCATAATCTCCAGGACTGTCAGGACAATGGATTTTATTACTATGCTTATGCTATGTCATATGACACAGTTAATCTTCAAATAAGATTATTTGGGTGGGCCTAACCCTATCACATGAGACCTGTAAAGCAGAAAGTTTTTTCCAAGTGTAAGAAAAGGAAGTCCAAAACACATACTCCAGCCAGCTTGGAAGAAAGCAAATACATGTGTTAAAGCTGTGGATGCAGAGAAGCAACCTGCAGGAGTTGAACTACCTACACCCCAGCTCACAGCTGGCAGTAACAAAGGAAACCTCAATCTTAAGAGAGCAAGGAAGTGTCTTCTATCAACAATATGAATTATCTTCAAAGCTGCTTCTTCCCTAAGAGCCTCAAGAGACGAACACAGCCCTGCTGACACCTTGGTTTCAATCTTGTGAGACCCTGAGCAAAGAACTCATTCACACTGGGCTGAATTTTTGCCTGCAGAACTGTGAGTTAATAAATAAGGGTTATTTTCAGCTGCTAAGTTTATGGAAATTTGAAATGCAGCAATAGAATACTAGTACAGATAAATACTGAAATCTAATATTTGCATTACTTCATTTAAAAAGAAATCATGCCTTAAGAGTAAAGAGAATTTTTATTTCTCGGTTATGTGCTATAGTTCTCTGATACATTTTAATTTGTTTGCTTATTTATTTTTCCCTGCCAGTATCCTCTCTCCACTATTTCTGGTTGACACTTCTGCCCCTTCGTTTTATCAGTGTTTTGATACCTATCCTCTCTGTGAATACAGTGATATTGGTAATTACTGTATTTTGTCCCTTACCCACAGGCTGAGCAAGAGTCTTAGGTCTGGCCAATAATCATGGGCAGCTTTTTAGAAAAAAGAGTAGTTGCTTCATTACTCAGATGGTCCCCACCTCATCTTGTGCACTGGACAACGTAATAGAGTCCCTTCTAAAAATGGAGAAAATAGAGACTACACACAAAGGGAGACAGAGGTAAGAAAATTAAGAAAAGAAGAAAGGAGTTCTGACAACATCATATCAATTCCAACAAGTATTCTTGACTTTTCCACATACAATGTACTCATCAGTCTCTTACTCTGAATTTGTTTTTGTTACTCTAAAGAACAACAACAAAAAAGAAAAACAATATTCGGCCTAAGTGACCCCCAAAACACAATTTCCTACTTTCTTTTCCATGCAACTGGCATTTATTGAATACTCATTGTATTCAAGTTTCACAGATTTGGAACAAGTTCATCATTATGTCCCCAGAGGTAACCTGGGAAGAGAAACCTTGTTCCACATCAAAGTCAGTACAGCAGGTTTTGCTACTGCTTCATCATTTATACAGTTGGAAACAACTCTGTTTCTTCTACTAGGTCAAAGTGAAATTGAGAGGTGAAGCCGGCTGGGCTTCTGGTCTGGTGAGACTTGGAGAACTTTTCTGTCTAGCTAAACGATTGTAAACACACCAATCAGCGTTCTGTGACTAGCTAAAGATTTGTAAACACACCAATCAGTACTCTGTAAAAACGGACCAATCAGCACTCTGTAAAATGGACCAATCAGCAGGATGTGGGCAGGGCCAAATAAGGTAATAAAAGCTGGCCACCTGAGCCAGCAACGGCAACGGAGTGGGGTCCTCTTCTACACTGTGGAAGCTTTGTTCTTTTGCTCTTGCTGCTGCTCACTCTTTGGGTCTGCACTACCTTTATGAGCTGTAACACTCACGGTGAGGGTCTGCCGCTTCACACCTGAAGTTAGTGAGACCAGGAACCCACCAGAAGGAAGACACTCCAGACACATCTGAACATTGGAAGGAACAAACTCCGGACACACCACGTTTAAGAACTGGAACACTCACCGCGATCACGGCTTAGTGCTTGAAGTCAGCGAGACCAAGAACCTACCGGAAGGAACCAATTCCAGACACAAAATGTCAGCCAATCCAAACTTATGAAGGAGGGAAGTCTGGGCTGTTGATCTAGTGTGTAGTGAGCTCAGTATAGAGGACAGAGCTTTCATCATGTAAATTGATATGCAAAGCCAAATGAAACGTGGTGTGTACTTCCTACTGATGCGTCAGGGTATAGGCCTCTTTTTCTGCCATTCAAATAATGGAAGTTAATTAAATTTTAAACAAATGTATAGATTCATTAGTTTTACTGTGCTCCATGCCAGTATTCTCCAACTCAGCCATCCTAAGCATTTTTTAAAACAGGGGATTTTTGAAAATGAAAGCTTAGCAGCCACCTCATTATACTAAATGTCTGTGGAAAAATGCGGGGCCAGGGTTCAGTTTCTCCCCACTCCCCTTTCCCAATTCATAATCATAGGCACATACAGGAAGTATCACCGTAATTCACAGAACACATTTAAATCTTCTGCTTGAAACTTTGTGGTACCACTATTTGGCTACTCCAAGCTAACCTCTCTCCTATCCTTTTCTGAGGGAAACGCTTTGTGCTCAACATAATTTTTGTTTCATTCCAAGTTTTGATGCTGATTGCATAAAAAAAAGCCCACAACTACTGCTGTATTTTTAGTTTAAAACAGGCTTTATTTAGTGCCTTATAAAATGTTGAGTACTTTTGCTTCCGTGATCATGCTATGCTTACAGATATAAAAATTGCCACCCATTTTATGTCTTGAATCCTTCCCTGAGTAGTCGGCATAACATTTGTTGGTTCTGAGTACACGTTGGTGCTAATGAAGCTTGAAATTTATTGACCTTCTCATAAGAAGGAGAATAATGAGATATTTGAGCAGTCGGCTCAGGTACTTATAAGTTCACACACACGTTTTTTTTTTTTTTTTTTTTTTTTTTTCCAATGCCTGCTTGAAGTGTAGACCATGTCTTTCTCGTACTAGAACTATTTCTACTACGATTCTTGAGCTGGCCATTCTAGAGCTTTGCACATTCCTTGTCTGAAGGGATCGGCCCTCGCCATGCCAGCTGCCTCCCAACCATAGGTAGCTCCTAAACCAAATTATACTTGTGATCAGGTATTGCAAAAATAATGTTAGTGTAATATAAATTGGTAAGAAGAAAGTATAGATTTTAAAAGAAAACCAAATGGTCTTCATGCATGGCTTCTGTTGGCATAAAATCAGGCCGCTGGAACTAGGAACTTCCTTAGAGAACATTGTTTCAATTACTTCATTTCACAAATGAGGAAATTGAGAATCAGGAAGGCTAAGTGATTTCCCCAATATCTTCCATAGAGCAAGTTAATTACAGAAATCAGAATAGAAACTGGGTTATCCAGTCCTCTGCCCAGGGTTCTTTCCATTACACCAAATAAAATTACCTGCTGCTGTTTGGGCTAGATGGCTCATTATAGGGGCCTTTTAATGTTTCATAAATCAAAATATTATGTTCCTATAAAATTTAAAACAGTTAAAAATAAAACAAGTTTTGTTTTCTGATGGTTTCAGATAAAATACATTACATTAAATGGATTTCATATGTAAATGTGTTACCGCATTTATATGAGGAAAAATTCCACCAGAAAGCATTAGGAACTGAGAATTGATGGCTGCCAGGATTAGAAAGGATGACATCAAGTTCAAGCTCCAGTAGCAACACAGAAAAATATAACATGGAGTAAAATTAGTAGATAGAAGCGTCATTATCTGACTTGGGTGTGTTTGAAGAGAAAAATGTAAATCAAAAGAAATGGGATTATTTGTTTATTAATAATGACATTAATATTTTCTATTTGAATAATTGCTATAGACCTATGAATTATTTTATAGATATTATCTTCTTTGACATTATTAATAATCGTTTTCTTCTTAGCAATCAAGATGAGGGGGCTAAACCTTGGGATATTAAAGTATTTGTCCAGCATATTGCAGCAAACAGGTTCAGAGTCTGGGAACGAAACTCAGGTGTCCTGACTTTGTCTCAATAATGCATTTTCTCTGGTTTTATTTTAAATTTTACTGTAATCTATTTTAGAAGCTTTTCAACAATGAAAAAGAATACTGTTCCTCCAATATTTATCCCTGTTTAAAGGGCCCAAAGTTGTGGCCATGAAGAAGCAGTAAATGATGAATATTTTCTGCACTTCACATCTTTTATCACATGTTATATATTGTGGGGCATAAAATTTTATGAAATTATAGTTACATGCCTGAAATGGATTTTAAATCTCTTCATTTTCTATGTCAAAAGTGAGAGCTGTAAACCTGAAAAATTAAAGCTGCAGTGTAATTTATCTTATCCATAAATAGTTTACTATACATTACACAGTTTGAAGTAAACAATAGACCGGACTTAAAAATGATATTTCTCCATGGAAAACTATGTGATAAATACTAGAGATGCCATGAATATAACTGAAATTATATCACTTAAATATAGACAGAAGATTCTCTACTTTCTACTTTTACCTTCTTTCTCTCATAGTCAAAAGATATGAAAATGTCAAATAATATGCATATTTTAAAGTTGTTTGCACTGCAAATAGATAAGCGAAATCGATCTGCAAATTTCCAAGCTAAGAGATGATTATATCTAAAGTAATTCACCTGATTATTTAGGATTGCCTGTAAAATCTACAATGATTTTATTCCTCACAATATTGTTTTCCAATTTGGGGTAGGAGCTAAAAGTTATTGTATGACATCAAGTGATTTGAGGGATGAGAATGTGTTTCCTTAGCAGGAAAACTTGCTGAAAAGAAGAGAGATTTTTTAAAAAGTTCTTGCTTTGACCTGTCTGGATCAGATGGTTTAAGGCTACAACACGAGGCCAATATCTGTATGTGAAGGAGACAGAAACATCAATGTTTGGAGTATATATTGACCTTCATTCTTACTTTGTCGTTATTCTCTTATGTAACTGTTAATTTTTCCCTTCCTTGGCTCTATGTATTTAATTATAATAAGCTTTACCTACAAGCAAAACAAACCAAACATGAACAATGAAAACTACTTTTGGTCATGTAGAAGAAACAGCAGTCAATAAAGGAGAGAATGAAACTAGAATCTTTTTTAAACTAAATCTGAGAAAAGTGTAAGCTTTCAAAATTTTAAATATATATATACATTTGCACTTCAGTGATAGTGCAATTCCAGTCCTTCCACCACAGATCATGTGTAGTTTTATCTATTAGCATAATGTTAGTTTTCTCTTGCATCTTATGTTGAGTTTACGTAGTACAGAGGACACAAATAGTTCCCTGCTTAAAATGAGAACTAATCCTTTTGTGTTATTAATAATTACAATATCAAAGTTTACATTAAAATTTTTAAAAATGTCTGTACAAAATATCAGAAAAATCAGCCTTCTTCCTTATAATTGGCTGGGTAAAGTTTCACTGATGTTAGATCTTTATAAAATATTTTAAGGGTCAGCATTTTAAGCAGAATAGCAGTAAATAGTTCCTTACATAAAAGCAAACTTAAACATATGACAGTGTCTTCTCGTGTGTCATTTGAATGAGGGAACCACAGCTGGTCTCCTGAGAAGCTGTTCTACCCTTCATTGCATGATAGACAGTACCCTAGGCTCTGTCTTTCTTTGTTCTTTTCCTTCTCAAGGGAAGGTTTCTTCCTTCAAAATGAGGCATAGATAAAGAGGGATCTTATATTTACTATAACTTATGCATGTTTAATTGTTTTAAAACACAATACAGAGAAAATTAAATACCACAAATGAAAGTATTTCATCTTAAAGTTTGCCTTAACGGTCTCCGTTTCCATTCACAGTGCTTAGAGGTGAAGTGCTTCCACCATTTACAATTTGCAGCAGGACATACTGGCAGGAAATCTTTATTAAAGCAATAGTAGCCCTTTCCTTTTTTCTTTATTTATTTTACAAACCAACCCTTAGTTACTATGCTTTAGCTGAGACTTACCAATTTTTCTTCAAGTATCAATTAAGGTAGACATATTATTCATCATGAGAGAATTACCATTCAGTATTCTCTGGGTGCTTTTTCTCACATACTTTTATCTTGGTCTTAAAAATGAAGCACCAACATTTAAAAGGCAAACATGAGACCATCTCTTCTGACACCACCATTGTATCTAATATTGTCTGATTCAAAATGTGGGTCTAAAAGCAAATGAAAATTGACTTTCTTTTCCAACTCGGCACACAAACCCATTGAACTGTCCCTTCAGGTTTGATGCGCTATCAGTTAACACTGCACTATTTTCACAAGAAATATGATTTGATCTGAGAAGAACTGCAGCAGCCTGAAACATATATTCCCAGATCATGTCTCTCAGAGTACCGTAGCCATTAAATGTCTTCTATAATGTTCGTGATAAATCTGAGTATTAGTGAACAATATCTGTTAAAGGCATCTCTTTGGAACTTCAAGTCTAGTGTACAGGTGCGCATCTGCAATGGGATTTTCCAGTCATAAATGTCGATAGGTCAATCTATCAAGGTTTTCCTCAAACAAGTATATATACTCAGCACTAGTGAAGTTTTATTTTTTAGAATTTATTTTGTATCTCTAGGTGGATATAATGTAGAATATCACTTAAATGCATAGACTTTAAAATCAACTGCCTGGGTTTGGTGCTATGACCTTGGGCAAAATAATTAACTTTGTATGTGTAAAAGGGAAATAACTGTGGCAGTTGGGAGAATTAAATAAAATAATAAAAAATTAAGAGTTTAGTACAATGCAAATACTTTTGCACTACTAGGCATTACCTAGTATTTCCTTCCACCCATTTGTGTCTAGTTTCTTTTTCCCATGGTTGTTTGAGCCGATCTGCTCATTTGCTGTTATTAATGAAGTTCAGTCACAGTGTAGAAATGTGACTCCTGCTATTTGCTTTTTCTTTTCTTTTTTCTTATTAAAATTATTTTGTACAGATGGAATCTTGCTATGTTGCCCAGGCTTGTTTTGAACTCCTGGCCTTAAGCTAGTCTCTTGCCTTGGCCTCCCAAAGCTCTGGGATTACAGGTGTGAGCCACCACACTCAGCCCCATGTGCTGTTTCTTATGCTTAATGTTTTTTGGTTATTTGTTTTTATCTTTGACAGCCTGAGCCAATATCTATGTGTACTAGGAAAATGCCACATAGAACACTGAGCCTGGCATCACATCAGCCGTTGGCCTGAGTGCAAATGATATCTGCAAGACCAAACAGATAAAGCTATATGTGTAAGTCTCAGAAAGAGCAGGAGGACTCAACTTTGGTGAACACTTTATCTAGTTAATTCAACAAATAAGCAAGGGGTGGGACTCAACCTCTTCATTCTTACTGTAGCAATCTGGAATCAGTCCATCACCATGACTGTTTCCAGGTGTAAAATGACATAATTACTCATTAATCTCCACTTAGAAAGTGTGTATTGCTACTGGCTGGAAATACTGCAGCAACCAGGAGGACCTTCACATTTCTACCATGTGGAAGAATTAAAGATTATTACATTCTGTCTTCAAGTGATGATCGGATAGTGCACAAATATTTTACGTGCCATACATGTAAATTCAGCCAATGTGCAATTTAGTTTACAATATTCTTCAGCTGCAAAAGGGTACTTATACTTTCTTTAATATCTATTCAGCTCGAAAAAAAGCCTATCATATCTATTAAAATCAATAGACTTTTTACTTTGCATTTGTTGTTTACTTACATTATTAGAAAAAAGAAGTAATCAGTGCTGTAGAAAATTTCATTGATGCAGTTTTCCTTTTCCTGAATATTTTATAAATTAGAAAATAAAGGCCAAGACATATTAAATAACTTGCCCAATCCTAGGTAGCTGGAACATAGGGAGTAAAAACACAGACGTGACTTCACCCTCTAAATTTGTCACCATTAATTGTTGTAGCTTTCAGCAAATGATTACTTCAGAACATTAAATCATAAGACAATGAGATACACTATCTTTGATTTCACTGAAGCTAGTGAACATCTATTTTAAGCAATGTCTTTAACAGTTTCTTAGCCTTTTGGGATCTGATTGCAAAGTTGTTAATGAGCATGACAGTCACTGCTAGAGGCCTACCCGATATCCCGTCCCCCTCCTCCTTATTAATAGAATCCTTCCATGTCACAGCATGTATCATCAATGGCTGTATTTTGCCCAATTAAAATGCTCACTCCTCCCAGAATGCCTCAGAGCTAGAGTACACATGTGACTCCATTTCACCTTATGCAGTAAACATGGGAAAAATCTTTTGGGGCTTTTTAGGAAAAGTTTTTTTAATTATTTTATTCTATTTTTTAACTTTTAGGTTCAGGAGTACATGTGCAGGTAAATTGAGTGTCATGGGGGTTTGGTGTACAGATTATTTCATCACCCAGGTTATAGGCATGGTACCCAATGGCTAGATTTTCATTCTGCACCCTCCTCCTTCCCTCTGCCCTCGAGTAGGCCCTGCCTGTTGTTCCTTTCTTTGTATCCACCTGTACTCATACTGCATATACTTTTTGCTGCTTTTTTTTTTAAATCTCTCCCATTTTTTCCTTTGTCTTTTCCATGGCTTGCCCAAATAATGATTAGAGATGCAGAAACTGGTTTACGATCATAAAAAAGAAAGCCACATGTTTGATTGAGAAATTAAAAGGTCCTTTTTTGATGTTATCATGGAGTTGCTGTATAAGACCCAGGATGCCAATCTTTGGGTTGCTGTATAAGACCCACGAGAAAAATAAATCCCTCTTTAAGAGATTATAATTGGATTTCCATTCTGTGCTGCTGAATCCAAATCTGACCTAGGAAATTACTAGGTCAGTATTTTTCTTCATGCAGCAGTGTTTATACTTGTAAAAGTTATTTATGACTTTATAGGAAGAATCATATCAGTGTAAAACATATGTAAAAGAGAGACTCCAAAACTCATTTAGTTTGCTCTATACTAGTCAGTAAATTTAAAATGAAAAATATTCCAAACATTTTTATTGATAGTCATTTAATTTTGTATTTTTAAATGACAAATGAATACTTTATGCAAAGAAAACTTACTATGAACTCTCTAATAAATAATGAAACAATTATTTTGTAAAACATTTTAAAAAGACAAGAACATTTAAAGGGAAATGATCTGTATTGAGAATACAGAGCTACCCTTTTGTTACAAATCAGGTAACTGTTCTATATACTATTTTGCATAAAACTGCTATAAAGTTTGTATTTTAATAATGCAGTTTTCCATTTTGTAAATATATTTTCTTACAAAATATGAGATACATTTAAAAAATGATATTTATTCATTGGATTTATTCTCCATATCCCTTCTAAAATATAATTAAAATTCAATTAAATCATTTACAAATTGTCTGGTTTTAATTTATCTGATTGAGCATCTGTAAATAATGTGTTTGAGCAAAATTCACTTTTTTATAAAATTGCAAGTATGGGTATCTTTTAGGGACATGTGGGTGACTCTTTCAATATAGAAGATCACACAAAATTTGGCCATAACATGTCACATATCTCCATAGCCTAGAGACACATCATGAAATAAAGTATTTCATTAGCCTGCTGGGACAAGATTCAGTGTGCACAGCAATATGGAAAAAAAAATCAATATAACGAACATTTTCATAAGCTCAGATTTCCTGATTAAAGTATGATTCTCTGAAGACTGATTCAAAATGGATATAAATATAAATACTTTCTCACTGAGCACTCTAAGAGAAAGTTTGGAACACATTCTATTTTGAGCATTATAAATTGTGCTTTCAAAAATGATATAGCTAAAGAAAATTATTTAAACAAAAAGGGGCTTTTGATTTAGTGGATATATGCCTAAAAACTGCATAGTTTTCACTTTAATAATACCTGTATGGGAAATATATATGGGTGTTAAGGGATCTTATTGCCAGAGAATGGAATTTGCTTTTATAAATTTATGAATAATTCTTGCCTTATATAATATATATAAAATTTTCAGTATGATGCATGTATATTAAAATGTATAAAAAGAACTATAATCGTCACATTTTCTCCAAGCATTTATGTGAACAACATGTGAGCTAGGGAGAGAATCAGAGGTTTATTTAACTGGAATTAGTTAATGAAGTCATCTGTCACCGTTAATTTCTTGCCTTGCTATTCCGTTATCAAAGCAACTGAAATGATCTTAAAAGCCAACCATTACAATCATTAATACTCAAAGTAAATATTACATTTATAGATGCAGTAATCTCAAGCCTAGCACTTTCATTCAATCATAGATTCTATCATATGAAGAAAGCCAAAGAGACAATTTCAGAGTAAACATTGTTAATGGAAATTACGTTTTGAAAGGGCCTCAATTACATTGGCAGTGGGCCGTCCTCTGAGCACCATAAGAAAATGTAATTTCATTGAATAATTCTAGTGTTGCATTGACTGGAATCAAAAAGTGAGTAATTCATTTGCACTTATAAAAGGAAAAATACTTCACTACCACACAGAAAGTGGAGAAAAAGCACACTGGACTGTGAGCTTCTAAAGGGAATATTTCCCCAAGACCCATCTTCATAGTCAATAAATAAATGTTTATTTGTTTCGTTTCATGAAAGAATAAATGATCAGCAGGCCCCCGCTTCCACAAAAAAAAAAAAAAAAAAAAAAAAGGATTTACATTTAGGTTAAATTCCAGAAGTGTAATACTAAGAAGTGTCTTTTTTAATTTAAAGCTTCATGCTATGTTAAAACGTTTTTGGCTCAAAATTGTCTTCTTTTTTTGTCCCATTTCTGTCTCAGCACTTTGAAATAGTAATTTAGTTTTACAAATGGAAATGATTTGACTAAGAACAGGAGGGTCTGATGCTGAAAAATCCTCAAATCCTGGATCCAGATTCAATGTATTTATCTTGATATCAGTGAATGAGAATACAAATGTACGCATTAAACCTCAGTCCATTTCTCTTCCGTTCTTCTAAAACAGCCACCCATTAATTTCTTACCTCTGTTCATTATTAAGCAGAACACATATGGTTTGCATTTTCATAAGACGCTTGTAAACTATTCCTTCCTCATGCTGTTTTTCTGTAGTAATTGTCAAAGCTAGTTATGAAGCCACTCTCAGTGCATAGAAATCCTACACTGAACCCCACTGGAGAAATGAGGGGACTAGTGTACATTGTTAGCAATAGGAAGGTTCATATTTCACTCAGTCAAACCTAAATCCTTGGAGTGGCCTTCAAGTTCCTACACTTTCTGGCCCCTACACTCATTCTCACTGTTTCCTTAACCTCATTTCCTATTACTCTCTTCTCACTGTTCATGCACGCTGCCCTGCCACCTCAGGGAGTTTGCACTGCTGTTCCCATACCTAGAGAGCTATTCCCTAGATATCCGCATGGCTAATTCTCACTTCTTTCAGTCCACATTGTTGCTGAAATATCAACCAAATTGAGTATTGTTGTCAATCCCACTTTATTCTGTATTACAGGTATGGGGGTACATGTGCAGGTTTGTTACATGGATGTATTGGGTAATGGTGAGGTTTGTGCTTCTAATGTACCCATCACCCATAAAGTAAACATTGTACCCAATAGGTTATTTTTCAACCCTCATCTCCCTCCTATCCTCCCCACTTTTAGAGCCCCAATGCCTATTATTTTCCTCTTTATGTCCATGTGTACTCATTGTTTAGCTTCCACTTATAAGTGAGAATATGCAGTATTTGATTTTTCCAGTTATTTCACCCAAGATAATGGCCTCCAGCTCTATCTGTGTTGCTGCAAAACACACGATTTTATTCTTTTTATGGATGGTATATGTACCATATTTTCTTTTTTCTTTCTTTCTTTATTGTATTTATTTATTTATTCATTTATTGAGACAGAGTCTTGCTCTGTTACTCAGGCTGGAGTGCAATGGCGCAGTCTAGGCTCACTGCAGCCTTTGCCTCCTGGGTTCCAGCGATTCTCCTGCCTCAGCCTCCTGGGTAGCTGGGATTACAGGCACCTGCCACCACACCTGGCTAATTTTTTTGTATATTTAGTAGAGTCAAGGTTTCGCCATGTTGGCCAGGCTGATCTCGAACTCCTGACCTCAGGTGATCCGCCCACCTCGGCCTCCCAAAGTGCTGGGATTACAGGCATGAGCCACTGTGCTCGGCCCTAGTATGTACCGTATTTTCTTTATCCAGTCATCCATTGATGGGCACTGAGGTAGATTTCATGACTTTCCTATTATGAATAGTGCTGCAATAAACATAGCAGTGCAGGTGTCTTTTTATAAAAATGATTCCTTTTCCTTTGTGTAGATATACAGCAGTGGGTCAATCCCATTTTAAAATGCAACCTGCTTTGACCTCAAACGCTCTTGATCTTTCTAATTGTTGTGATCTACTTAAAAAAAAAAAAAACCCACTGGCCATTTTCTAATGTATTGTATTAAAACATTTTTACCTGATATTTATTGTTTCTTTATCATTCTACTGGACCTTAACTTCTATGAGAGCAGAGATATTGCCTGTTTTACACTGCAAATATACCCAAACCACTCAAAACAGTGTTTTGTTTACTGCCACTATTAGATACTTTTTGAATTAATGAATTTATAATCAGTCCTTCAATTATTTTTTCCTAAATTGCCTGAAATTGTATACCTAGTCAACTTACTCTCCTACTCTCTGCAATGGGTTTTCAAATGTATTCAAACTTATGGTTACCTTAGAACTTCTAGTGCCAACCCTTTACCTTTGCAGCTTATAGGTCACCTTTGTGCTCAGGTTGGCTCAATCCTATGGAAAAGCTTTCTATCCTCTTTCTACCAACTACTAAAGCTTTTTATCATTTTCTTTTGGAAACATATTTCTTTGGCTTCTGAGGCATCCCACTGACCTGATTTTCTGTCTCCTCATCTGGCCCTCTTTATCAGTTTCCTGTGCATGGTTATACTTCCTTGCCCCACTTATTGGGTAACTCTATGTCTGTGTTTCAGGCCACCTCTCTTCTTTTAATTTTTTTTTTAATATAGATGGGGGTCTCACTATATTGACCAAGGTGGTCCCAAACCCCTGGCCTCAAGCAGTTCTCCCATCTTGGCCTCTCAAAGTGCTGGGATTACAGGCATGAGACACTGTGCCCAGCCAAGCCCACCTCTCTGCTTATTTGAAATGCTTTCTCGGGTAATTTCATTCATTTTTACAGCCTCAATCCTTATTAATACACCTAAATATCCCTCTCATCTAAACTTCTGCTTTTAAGTTCCAGTCTATTGTTTCAGTCTCTACCCAGATGTCTCAAAACTTTATGTCTATAAATGTGTAAATAACAAGAACTTGATCTATTTAGAAATTATATAATAGTAAACATTACTCATAATTTAACTGTGAAAACACCACAGTTTTGAATCTTATGTCTGAAGGCTTTAGTGAGTTCACCTATAGATATAACATTTACAAACTAATAGGTGAGAGATTGGGCTTTGAGTCAGATATTGGTTTGAGTCCATGCTCTGTTCTTTTTAACTTCATTAGTTTTCTTATCTTCTCTATTTCTCAGGGTCCTCATCTGTATAATCTGATCACTGACAGTAACTAGCACATTAGGTCGCTCTAAGCATGAAAATAGGTAATGCATGTGAAGTGTTCACACTGTAACAACCTTGCATTAATCCCTCAGAACAGCTTTTTATTATTATTAAAATTAGTATTATGTTTTATTTTCCTGTTTATCTCAAATTATAAACTTTATAAATAATACGAGTCATTTCCTTTAATATTGGCCTATGAATCATAAACAAATAATTCATAGGCCAATATTAAAGAGAATGAACTCATGTTATTTAAAATTATTTATTTACACTTTTGACAATAAAAACAGAATTACCAACCAGTTGCATTCAAGTCACTAAATTAATTGTTTTAGAAAATCTCTATTCTTGGATTGCATAGGAAAAATCTAGTGTAACAGTAGATAGCACTATATAAGGAAACCAATAAAGGTAATAAAAGACAGATCCTGGACTTATCTTCTCGTGTATTAACATTAAATGAGGATGATAACAAGCTCAAGAGATCTGTTATACAACGTGGTGACCATAGTTAATAGCAATGTATTGTATAGAGTGCTTGAAAATCACTGAGAGTAGATTTCAAGTGTTCTCACTTTAATATCTGGTAAGTATGTGAGGTAAGCCATATATTAATTAGCTTGATTTAGCCATTGCACAATGTATACATAGTCCAAAACATACTGTTGTACACCATAAAGATATACAACTTTTTTTTAGTTAAAAAAATAGTAAAATGATGATGACAAACACAGACCAGGAAGTAATAGTGTGGCTTCCACTAAGCCTATTTTAGAAAAATAAAACATTCTGTTGTTTGTATCAGTTGGCCTGCAAAATCCAGAAAAATTATTCCTGTTTAAATCATAACACTTTCTGGTTTCATTTAATTCCACTGTTATTGTTAGGTTGAGAAATGTAAATAAATGTATAGAGATGCAAACCGAAAATAACAGGGACTAAACCTTCTCCCCATGGTTTCCCAGGAAGAAGATGGTGAAGTTAGAAATTCTTCCTAGTTTCCTTTCATTTATACAAAATCACACAGTAGCTAGGCTATATAATGTTTTGGCTGATGATTTCAATGCCTGTTACACATATCATTTTGTTATTTTGTGGCTTTCCTAGATTTTTTTCATTATCCTTCATCTGTCTATTTTCAGTTGCAAAGGAAATGTTTGTGTTGTATATGTGTTGTGTACATGCATGTTTTGAGATTGAGAGAAAAAGAGAGAGACAGACACACAGGGACAGAAAGAGAGAAAATAGGAGCTCATATGGATTTTGTATTCATTAGAAGGCAAGCCCCATGAAGGTGGTAGACGTCCTGCTTTCCTCGCTGCTGTTATTTTTGTATTATCTTGGTGCTTTTGGCACTCACCATATATTTGTTGGCTGTGTTGTGAAATGATATTCCCTGCTTTCGGAATTATGAGGAGGAGATGAGTTACTTATAAAAGCACTTAGAATTCTGCTCACATGAACTATACAATTTTTTTTTTTTTTTAAATGGAGTCTCGCTCTGTCACCCAGGCTGAAGTGCAGTGGCATGATCTTGGCTCACTGTAACCTCCACCTCCTGGGTTCAAGCAAATCTCCTGCCTCAGTCTCCAGAGTAGCTGGGATTACAGGCGTCCACCACCACGCCTGGCTAATTTTTGTATTTCAGTAGAGATGGAGTTTCACCTTGTTGGCCAGGCTGGTCTCCAACTCCTGACCTCAAGTGATCCGCCCACCTCTGCCTCCCAAAGTGCTGGGATTACAGGCGTGAGCCACTGCACCCGACTTACAAGCTCCTTAAGTTGTATTTTTATTATGAAGACCCTCAAGTTTCACAGCCACTTGAGGTTTGATCGTATCCTTTGTTTTATCTATAAATTTGCTCAGAGACTTCCCTCTCCATCTGTTTGTGATAGTTTTGTTGGGAACTCATTTCCATAGAACTTTATCTGAGGGAATATTTGAGGACTGGGCTTAGGGTACATTCCTCAGCATAGGATTTGGGTTTGCATGTCCCAGATATCTGGGATTGCTCCTGACCTGCGACCATTTTAAAACCACATTTGGGACTTTAAGGTCTTCTGGGACCCTTCCCCAGTGTGAAGGAGAGCCCATGGAGAAGAATTCTGTCAGGAGTCCTCTCTTTCCCTTCTCTACACAGAACAGTCTCTGAGACAGTCATGATTATCTTCCATCCTCTTCTATGGCGTAGAACTTGCTTAATTTTTTGAATGTTTTAGTCTCATTTAGGGGTGCTAATCTAAGCTCTACCTGGACTATGTGGCCATAGTCCTTGTTTACTGTCTCACACTTGGGTGTGGCCTATTAAATCTCAAACTCTGCATAGATGGGACCCCAGTGGTGTACTTCTAATGCCATCAAGAGAACATGATGCAAGAAGCTGAGGCGACTAATATACCCTGTTCTTACACTCTGGATCTACCACCACTAAGGCCATGTTCTTTCAGGCTTCCCAGCTAATGAATAAGCGAAACAGAATTAATAACGCCAGCTCATCCTTGTAGGATGTGCACTCCTCTGACTTTGGCTACAGGACTCACCATCTCTCTGGCCAACATTAATGTTTTCAGAGCTGCCCTATTATATGAGGGCCTTCCTGCACGTCCTACTTCCATTCACAAATTTCAGCCTTGCATCAAAATCCAAAGGCTCTTCCTGTCTTCTCTGGCACCTTCCCATTGATCCTTCACAGAAATTTCCCCCCAAATTTCTTGAACATATAATTATAACTTGGTGATTAGAACTGACGAGTAAGTAGCAAACACTAATCTAGGACAAGCATACTTTTCAAAAGGAATGTTACTTGTTGATTCTATCTTTTAAGAATTTACTTTACATTAACATCAACTCAACTGTGCAGTAAAAATAAATAAATCATTAATTTTGACATTTTTATTTTTAATGTTATGTATTCTAGAAGAAAGTTTGTAGTTGGCCCGGCGCGGTGACTCATGCCTGTAATCCCTGCACTTTGGGAGGCCGAGGCAGGTGGATCACTTGAGTCCAAGAGTTCCAGACCAGCCTGGCCAGCATGGCAAAACCTCATCTTTACTAAAAATGCAAAAATTAGCTGAGCGTGGTGGCGGTTGCCTGTAATTCCAGCCATTTGGGAGGCTGAGGCAGGAGAATTGCTTGAACCTGGGAGGCAGAGGTTGCAGTGAGCCAAGAAACTGTCTCAAAAAAAAAAAAAAAAAAAAGAAAAAAAGAAAGAAAAAAGAGAAAGAAGGAAAGAAAGAAAGAAAAGTTCTAGTTTCTCGTTTTAAGAGAAATGGGTCAGCACTGTCTTTTCCGTATCAACATAAAACAATTGTGTGGGCTCTTTGACTAAAACTAAAAAATGTATCTGAGAAATTTATATACTAAGTTATTTTTAATCTTGATGAACTATTGCTTTACCATCATATTCGAAGCTGTGTTAGTAGTGGCCTAATTTTCCAGAATTTTGATGATGCATATATGTGAGTATATCTTAAGCTAATGAAACTAATTAATGGATTGTAAAATTTTCTCTTTTGCTTCTCCCTTTTCCATGCCAGTTTTCACATAAATAGGACAATATCTTCTTACTTTTCCTGTGATCATGAGAATGCTGGACTAAGAATTTATGGGCATTAACCCCCCATCTATTTAACCACCTATATTACATGTGTCCCTGATGTAACCTGAGCAAACTTAGCAAGTCTTTTATTCTGGGTGAATGCCCCGCTTCACCCAAATCATGAATGCTGTTTGCTTCATGGAACTCTATTGCTTTTGTTCCCAGAACCAATTATATCTTAGCTAATCTCTTGCCCCTTTAATTATCCTTGATAGTTTTCTGAATAAAATATGCAATCTGTGAACACTTTATTAGTCCCACTCTCTGGTTTATCCATTCATGGGTAAGGATACAGAATTGTCTGAATCCAGCTTATTATAAATTCATTATTCTCATTTGTGCCCAATGACAAAATTTTCCTTGCCCTGGGTCAACAACATTCTCAGTCATCTCGACTATTTAACTGTAAATCTCAAACTATGTGCTGTTTAGAATTATATGTGCCTATCCCACTCTGCCGGACGTATGTGTTCTTTTCTCCATGAGATTTACATCCTGTAATGCTCTGATTCAGAATTTTGGGGCCCAATCCCTATTCATTTGTGTCTTAACAGTCTTTGAAGGGATGTTTGACTTCAAGGATTCCTTGAAGTTTCCCTCTGAGCAAAGGTGAGATGCCTTTTGATTCATGCTTGCGTCATTACTAGCCCAGGTTTAGCTGACTTTTTTAGTGTAGGATTTGCAATTAACACACAATAAAGGCTCTCTGAACTTCAGTCTCTTTTCGAGGGAAATAACCATAAACATACTGCCACTCAGTACAGATGGAGAGGTTAGTGAAAATAAGCAGCATTTATGAAGGCATGCCAGAAGGACTATGGGCCAGCCATTTTCTCTGGATACTGGAAATTCTTCCTGTAATGAAGCCAGACCTGCATAGAGTATTAATTAATACTCAACCACACAAAATTCAGATCTTACAGAAGTGCTTTTACAAAATATCCTTACAAAGACTCAGAGGGGGAAATTACAAGAAAATATTCTGTGAAACATCAGATTATTTACTTAAAGTTATTGTTGATGGCCATTATTTTCTGTACTCTTAGAAAAAGAATAATGAGAGATATTTTCTTATTATGCAGCTAAAAGGAATAGTTTTGCCTTTTATTGAACAAAACAATTGTGTGTATGTCCATTTAACTTCTGGAAGATCTGAATCATGTAATTGTGTCTGTTTTTTTCTATTTGTGGATAGACAGAACACTTAGAGCCACATGTGGAATACACTGCTAGAAACTAATTCTTCTTGGCATGGACTTTGTATACTAACTTAGTCCCTGGTTTCAAAGAATTTTTATTTTTCTTTCATTTTGATGTCCTCATCTAATTAATTTTATTTTATTTCATTCTGTTGGGTTATATGCAATTATAAGGCACAAAGTCTTACTGAAAAAAGAACATGAAATAAGCAAATATGCAAAAAAGATTAATATTCTATGAATAGTTCATATCTCATGCTTATACATAACTATCAAAACACACACAATACTTGACATTTTATACATGTTCAGCAAACATTTATTTACCAAATGAAGAAAACTAGGGATTGGAAAACAAAGCTGTTTCTTCAATATTTTTTATTTATTAAAAACTACTACTAGAGTTTGTAATCCTGGCTGACTTTTATCTCAAAAGAGTCAACTCTGTATTATTGAAGTGCAGATTAATGGTTTAAATATTAATTGCATCCAAAATTTACATACTCTTATATAATTAAAATATACACTATATTTCTGAAAATTTTCTTTAATTATTAACGATTGATTTAAACAACTAGAGATATAGAATATATATGCTATTGGAATTTCTGATTAGCAAATTCCACTTGGAGTCTGCAATGTACAATGACATGCAAATTCCATTTTCCATTGTTTGTATTGTATTTTTAAACATCAAAAGAAAAAATGTTTTTAACTTTAACTCTAATATAATTGTTGTCAAATAAGTGAAAGAGTTGTTAGACTTTAAAAAAAACATTACAATAGTGAGAAACAGAATAAGTTATTTGTGATATGAAAGAGAAAAATGATAAGTTAATATAATTTTAATTCCAGTTGAGTTAAGAAAATGAAAAAGTGCATCATTGTCGCTTCTACTTGCAAATGATATTTCTTCTATTTTTAAGAGTGTAAAATTTGTCTTTCAGTTGACAGTGAGTTACAGGTGAAAAGCTTTTACTCTGATGTTTTACAGAACTGCTAAAATGTCCATGTGTTATTCTATGGAGAATTGTAATAGAGTTTAGTAGTATGAAAGTGTGAAAGATGTTTTTTACCTTAATATATGATATTTACTTGGTTGAGTTATATAACATTCAAAAATAGAGAATTTGGAGCCTGAAAACCTTGATTTCAGTTTAGCCTCCACTACTTACTGGATTTGTGACCTTAAGCAAGTTATTTCATTTTTCTCAAACTGGGTTTCCTCTTAGATGAAAATAACAATATCTACCTTCCTTTCATGTGATTTATTGAGACCAAATTGGAGTAATAGATAGTATAACTAGAACTTGGTTTTAAGTTATTTAAACATTATTTACTAGGTAAAACTTGTGCCTGTATAAAAATGAGAAACTTTATCTCTGAATGCAGATGCCATGTTTTCATTATTTGATAGAGATAAATAAACATGGAAATTGTATTACAATTTATACCAAACTGCAAGGGGCCAGGTGAGTCAACCAAATTATACGGACATGTCAAAACATGCTGTTTTACTTTGTTTTCATACTGCTATAAAGAACTGCCAGAGACTGTGTAATTCATAAAGGAAAGAGGTTTAACTGAATTACAATTACGCATGGCTGGGGAGACCTCAGGAAGCTTAGGAAATCATAGCAGAAGTTGAAAGGGAAGCAAGGAATCTTCTTCACAAGGTGGCAGGAAGGAGAAGTGCCGAGCAAAGCAGGGAAGAACTCCTTATAAAACCATCAGATAACCTGAGAACTCACTCACTATCACAAGAACAGCAAGGGGCAAACCACCCACATGATTCAATTACCTCCACCAGGTCCCTCCCTTGCTAGGTGGGGATTACGGAGATTATAATTCAAGATGAGATTTGGGTGGGGACACAAAACCTAACTATATCACATTGAGTGAATGCATGCATATTCTTAAATGCAAAAATTGTAAATACATATATAAATAGATAAATAGATGTTTAGTGGAATGTAGATTTCTCTAAATATCTATGCAATTTTCATGAATTTGAGGTGCAGGAACAATAACATTAAGAGTGTCTAATATTATCTCAGCTCATACTGGCTGTGGTGTAGAATTCATAAAAGGAAGGCAGATTAAGTTCCCATTTCTTAGCTATTCTTAATATAAAGCAGTTTTAAAAACCCTGGTTATAGGATCCTATGAGACAAGCCTTAAAGGTATCTGATTGATTTAGATATAAATGACATATGGGTTTTTTTCTTATTGTGAAGATGTTTTCGTAAATCTCATCTTTTTAAAGTGTCTCTTAATATACTTCTCTTTTTAACATTGGCTTCTAGAAAAAAATAATGAAGTAAGAAAAGAAAAGGGATTCTACATCTTGAGTGAGAAATTGCCTTATAAAAATGAACAAATAGAGGCTGGGTGCAGTGGCTCACACCTGTAGTCCCAGCACTTTGGGAGGCTGAGGCAGGCAGATCACTTTAGGTCAGGAGTTCAAACCCAGCCTGGCCCACATGGTGAAAACCCATCTCTACTAAAAATGCAAAAATTAGCCAAGTGTGGTGGCATGCACCTGTAATTTCAGCTACTTGGGAGGCTGAAGAAGAAGAATTGCTTGAACCCAGGAGGCGGATGTTGCAGTGCACTGAGATCACGCCACTGCACTCCATCCAGCCTGGGTGACAGAGCAAGACTCCTCCGTCTCAAAAAGCAACAACAATAACAACAAAAACAAATAGAATAAATGAAGAGATTTGATCTTATAATTGGTTGGAATATCCCATAACACTGCACTGTTTATGTTTGCACAATAATGAAAGTTCATTGAGTACATGTTCACTGACATATATGGATCCTCAGAAATATATATCTTAAACATATGATATATAAGTATATATAAATGTATACTCATACGCATAACTCAGATGTATGCAAAGGCTTCATATATCTAGAATGTATATTGTGTGTATTCTATATAATATGTAATGAAGGTTGATAGACATAACCTTTTCTTGATGGTGTAGGTTAGGAATAATTGGTTCATTTAGGGTAGGGCAGATTTCACTTGCACTGATATGGACAAATCAGTGTTAATGACAGAATGCAATAGAGTCATCCTGCTATGTAAACAGAAGCATAGATAACAAATAATACAAAATATGATAAAATTTTACCTCATTCATAACATCATTTATCTGACCCTTTCCCACAATTTATCTGGCCTATCTGCCACCACTTAATTTAAAAAATTACAGTGATTATATCATGACTGCTTTCAAATTCTCACTGTACAACTCTAAAAACATACACTTATTTGATAGCCTTGAATTTCAGCCGAAAAAATAATAATTATAAGAGGTATAGACTTTAAAATATATCATATTTGTGCAGAATATTTTAAGTTATAAATATGTATGCATAAGGCCTAGTTGATGTAACATTAGTATAGATGCTACAAATGCAAGTTCATTAAAGAATATTAAGATATTCTTCCCTGTAAATCTAAGGAAGCAAAACAATGGGAAATTTCTCAAAGATTTAAAGCAGGAGATGAAACAGGGACAAACTGAGTGTTTGCTCAACCATAATTGTGAAGCAATCAGTTTAATTTTCTCACAGTTGATTTTGTTTAATTAGGAGATGACATTAGCTAACTTTGCAGTTCTACATCGTTGGAAAAAGGAAAGAGGAGGTTTTGACATATTGTGCCTTTACTATTAAAGAAATATCATTCAGTGAGTTTTTTGTACACATTTCTATTTGTGTGGTTTTTTTCACTGAAAATAATGCTTTTAAATTTCAGAATACAACAGCTTAACTTATCACATAGTAGAGATATACATATTGTACCAATCCCTTTTAAAATTAGTGCTAATGTAGCATGAGGGAAATGTAATTCAACAAGAAAAATGGAAATTTACATTTTTATCTCTGAAACTGAACACTGATTCTCCAAAAATCATTTTCATCAATAAAATCTGCCAAAATGTGTTGAATATATGCAGCATTTAGACAAATGTCACCATTATTTCTTGCCCAGACATGGTTCAAGGCCCATGTTCATCATGTCCTTTGTTATATCATCTAAGCACATTAAGACTGCAAATGACTTTCAGCTATTTAAATACCTAATCATGATATAATGTCCATGGCTTTATAGAGTCCCAGCGTAATTTTGCATATATTCTTCAACTTTGTTCTTTTACAGTGAAGTACCGTGACAGATAGTTATACCAGAGATTTCTGAAACAAATAATCAGTATACATTCATCTGGCTTAAAATATCATATTGAATGTTCATAGATGGTTAAACAAAGAGGAAAGCAAACAAACTATTAAAAGGACACTTTATTTCCTATCATAAGCATTACATGCCTATAATTAGTAATTATTTTTTAAAAGGAAAATGGACTAAGAAATTTGCATAATATCTCCCTACTTGGTAGAAATCTGTTATCATCTTATTAAGTAGGACAGCATCATAGTTACACAATAATCTCTTTAGAAATATATAAAGTTGATTTTCTATTAAGATATGGCTATTGGCTATTAGCTAGACTGAATTAGATTATTAACACTATTGTTTTGAAATTGCCATTCACTGATATTTGGGGATCACTGAATACATTAGGAAACGGAGAACATCATGATAGCTTCCTCAAACTGTAGAGTATGATCTTTCTAGGTGGCCAGTGTAACAAAAGGAAATAAATTAATTAATAGGATCATAAAAGTGTACACAGAACACTTTTGTGATGCTTGCTAATCTTAATTAAATGATTGCAGTAAGGTTTATGTAAGCTGGTGAAAGCCATATACTTTGTAATCTTTTCTGCTCCCATTTATAGAATCACTTATATAAGATTTTTTTTGTTTGTTTTTTTTGGAGATGGAGTCTTGTTTTGTCTCCAGGCTAGAGTGCAGTGGTGCAATCTCGACTCACTTCAACCTCCGCCTCCTGGGTTCAAGTGATTCTCCTGCCTCAGCCTCCCAAGTAGCTGGGACTACAGGAATGTCCAGCTAACTTCTGTATTTTTAGTAGAGATGGGGTTTCACCATGTTGGCCAGGATGATCTCACTCTCTTGACCTCAAGTGATCTGCCCTCCTCAGCCTCCCAAAGTGCTGGGATTACAGGTGTGAGCCACCATGCCCGGCCTTGTATAAGGTTTTAAAAGTTCCCCAATTTAGCCTTCACTCAGTATAAGAATATCTTGCACAGCAACTCTTGGATTTATCCAGTTCTACTCTAGTGGTTTATTCTCTTCTCTGAAGTAAACCTTTGCACTTGTAGATAATTCTAATGACTAACATCTTGTTGTGCTAGCCAAATGAGTCAGCCATTTTCCTTCAATAACTGGGGATATTGAGACTACATTTATTGATCTTGTTTAATTTCTGTGCTATACTCCTTCTGTCACAGCTTGTTTCTATTTCTATGAAAAATGCCTCTGCCCCACTCAAAGGAAGACAATAGCATCTTTGTCTCCACTCTATGACCCACCATTACAAACTCAAGCTAACTGGATCAAGGGTAGACTCCTGAGCAAATGTTGGCCACCATATCAACTCAGACCATAGACTACCTTGCTTTGACCCTTGACTCATTTTTTTTCTCTCCCTCTCACCTCTCTTTCCCTGTCCTTCCCCTTTTGTTCCTACTCCTTTGTCTTTTGAACGTTGGCTGACAGACCACCCTGAAGGCTTACAAAAACAGCTCAAAAAGACTGTTCTGAGGGTTGCTGGCAAAGAATTGTACCAATGACCCTGAACATAAGACTTCAAAAACTGGGAAAATCAAACTGTTGCAACCACAAGTGTAGTAGCAATTCCAGATAAAGGGAACTGTAACCTGGGCTAGACTGAAGGTCACATGCTCCTCTCTCCTCCTCACCCTATGAAAACTTCAATCCAGCTGCTAAGGGAATTAACTGTTTTTCAGATGCTCCCTTATGTATATCAGATGAATAAAGTCTTTAATCTCTATTTCATTAACATTAACTTTTCTTTTAACCCTGAAAATGATTCAAATTCTGGTGAATTTTGGACGAAATCATAAAGAGACTAATCTCAGAAACTGTCCTTCTATTGAATGAAGAAGATGTAAATGTGGGAGCCAAGAATGGCATGCAGCTAGAGAAAGGGAAAGGGTTAGAGAGAAATATTGACAGTAAGTCGATGCAGAGACATCTGAGCTGATTTAATTTTTCTACTAAAATACCAGTTTCCCTCCATTCTTTTTTTTTTTTTTTGAGACAGTTTTGCTCTTGTTGCCCAGGCTGGAGTGCAATGGCGTAATCTCAGCTCACCACAACACCTGCCTCCCGAGTTCAAGCAATTCTCGTGCTTCAGCCTCCCGAGTAGCTGGGATTAAAGACATGCACCACCATGCCTGGCTAATTTTGTACTTTTAGTAGAGACAAGATTTCTTCATGTTGGCCAGGCTGGTCTCAAACTCCCGACCTCAGGTGATCCGCCCACCTTGGCCTCTCAAAGTGCTGGGATTACAGGCATGAGCCATCGTGTCCGGCTGCCTTCCTTTTAATATTTAGTCCAGGTTATCTGCTTTTCTTGGATATTAAGAAACAATAATGTCATTTCAATAAATGTGTTTGCTCTTGTTGATTAAATTAGTTTGAAGTACTTCAATTTTTAAAACCAACAGAAACTAAACAGAGTTTTGAAAAGCCAGTTTGTCTCAATTTCCCTCTCTATGATAAAGACTTATGAGTGCTAACCCTAAAAAGTCATATGGGAGCTTACCATAAAAAATGATAGCATACATCTTTAGTATTGTATAATTTCAAAACACTTTGTACTATTAAATCTTAAAATCTGTAAGAAAGGTTATGTGATCTTTTTTGGATTAATGAAGATAACTGGGAAAATATAACTCAAAAAATAATGTGATCTCTGTGATTGCAGTGATAGTTCCTATTCCATTCACTGTGTGCTGCACATACGTTGGAACTTTGTATTTTTTGAGTGGATGAATGAATGGGCAAATGCACAAGAACATGCACAAATAGCAAGTAGGTCCTCTGATGTGAGGCTATACTTCCAATTACACCTTGGATAAAGTAGCCAAGGACCTTTGTTTATGGTTGTTACATAAAAGTCAACAAAACATTGTTTTAAAATATCTTTCCAACAGATAGCACTTTCTAGTGTTGTGCTAGAAATCAATGGCAACATTTACCAAAATGTGATGTACTAATGACTAGTCCTATTGGTAGTGAACAGGTGTTACGTTCAGAAATGTTGGCCAGGCACGGTGGCTCATGCCTGTAATCCCAGCATTTTGGGACGCCAAGGCAGGTGGATCATTTGAGGTCAGGAGTTCAAGACCAGCCTGGCCAACATGGTGAAACCCCATCTCTGCTAAAAATACAAAAATTAGCTAGGCATGATGGCATGTGCCTGTAATCTCAGCTACTTGGGTGGAATTGCTTGAACCTGGGAGGCGGAGGTTGCAGTGACCTGAGATTGTGCCACTGCACTCCAGGCTGGGCAACAGAGCAAGACTGTGTCTCAAAAAAAAAAAAAATTAAAAAGAAGGAAATATTTCAATGTTTCTGCTTAAAACATTTAGGATTTCTATCTATCTAACATCTTTCCCTCCCTTTCTCTCTCCATCTATCTATGGCCTGGCCTGTCATATGTCTTGTTCTATATGTTGGAGAAAAAGCTGCAACTAAGACAACATCTTCACCTTTAAGTACCTTATCTTTTTGTGGGTGATACAAAAGTGAAAAAGCACATACAGTATATACTTAAGAATTTTTAGGCATGATTTTTTTTCCAACATATTTTAGAAAATGCCAGTTAGAAAACAAAGATCATATTATTATCACAAACATCACTTGGTCCAAATGTTTATATCCCCTCAAAGTACCTATGTTGAAATTGTAACTCCAATGTGATTTTATTACAAGGTGGGGCTCTGAGAAGGTGATTAGGTTTAGATGAGGTCATGAAGGTGCAGCCTTCATGATGGAATACTGTCCTCGTAAGGAGAGGAAGAGACTAGAGCTCTCTGTCTCCATCACATGATGCATGGCAAGAAGATGTTGACCTGCAGGCCAGGAAAAGGGCCCTCGCCATGAACCAAACACTGATGGCACCTGGATCTTGGACTTCCACCCTCCATAACTGTGAGAAATAAATTTCTGTTGTTCAAGCCATCCAGTCCATGATAGTTCATTATGACAGCCCAAGATGACTAAGGCAGACATCTTACATAATGGGCTGGATGCTGCATTCTTTGGATAAAACCATCAATAATTAATGATGCCTTGAGCTCACTGATGAGAGGAATTTTCTAAACTGGGAGTGGCAACCTAACTGTCAATATGTGTGAAATCAAAATCTTCCAAGAAATGCCTGCACTAAGTCTCAAAGTGTGTATTCTTGGCCAGTGGCTTTAGTCCAATGGCACTGGACCACTTACTGGGCAGAGAAAAATGATACATAGCATTGGAGACGAAAAAAATAAAAAAGCATAGGAGGCTAGGAGGACTGGAAGAATCTTCTGGAAGTGCTAAGTAGTTTGATCTGATTAGAGATTCAGATACATGTTGAGGTTTAAGAATAATGATGCTAATTATCATAACACTATGGAATAATGACTGCAAGACAGGGTATGTTAGTTGGCTTGGGCTGCCATAACAGAAGACCACAGGGTGGGTGGCTTAAAGAAGAGAAATGAGTTTCTCATAGTTTTGGAGGTTAAGAAGTCCAATTATGGCTGGGCGTGGTGGCTCACACCTATAATCCCAGCACTTTGGGAGGCTGAGGCGGGCAGATCGCCTGAGGTCAGGAGTTCAAGACCAGCCTGGCTAACATTGTGAAACCCCGTCTCTACTAAAAATACAAAAACTAGCCAGACATGGTGGTGCAAGCCTGTAATCTCTGCTACTCGGGGGGCTGAGGCAGGGGAATCGCTTGAACCCAGGAGGCGGGGGTTGCAGTGAGCTGAGATGGTGCCACTGCACTACAGCCTGGGTGACAAGAGTGAGACTTCGTTTCAAAAAAAAAAAAAAAAGAAGTCCAACCTCCAAGATCGAGATTCATGTCAATTGATTCCTGATGGAGGCTCTCTTTCTGGCTTGATGATGCTCACCTTCTCCCTTCATTCTCACTTTGAGCCTGCACATGGAGAGAGAAAGAAAAACCTCTCTTTCTCCCTCTTCTGAGAGGCCATCAATTGTATTGAGTTATCCCCCCTCTCATGACTTCATAAAATGTCAATTACCACCTAAAGACCTTATCTCCAAATACAGTCACATTAGATGTTAGGGCTTCAACATATGAATTTTGGGGAGGGGGCACAATTCAGTACATAGCACAGGGACTATTGTAAATTCCTGATAAGAAATCTTTCTTATTAAACAATCTTAACATTTCTAATTGGTGAGTGCTGTTTTTATTACTATTTTAACATGCTATGATATCATACTGGACCAGGGAGATGGTACAGACTGAAGATTCCTTATCTGAAATGCTTGGGACGAGAAGTGTTTTGAATTTTTCACATTTGTCAAATTGGGGATATTTGCACACCCATAATGGGATATATTGGGGAAAGGACCCAAGACTAAACACAATATTTATGTGTCATATACACTTTGTAACTATAGCCTGAAGGTCATTTTATACAATGTTTTTAATAATTTTGTGCATGACACAAAGTTTGCATTAAGTACTTATGTTTGGAATTTTTCACATGTGGAGTCATGTCAGTACTCAAAAAGTTTCAGATTTTGAAGCCCTTTGAATTTTGGATTTTCTGATTAGATCTGTTCCACCTGTATTATTCTTAGGGAAAGAAGAAAGGAGATAGGATCTATCAGAGGAAGAAATATGAATAGAGCAGTCAAAAATGTGAACAAAGCTTGATGACCTAGGGAAAGTACCGAGGCATCAAGACTACTTGCAAAGGTGGAAAGGTACAAATTGATATTACACGGTACAGATGGTCCCTGACTTAAGGTGGTTTGAACTATGATTTTTCAACTTTACAATTATGTGATACACATTCATTAGAAACTTACTCTGAGTACTCGTACAACCATTTTGCTATTCACTTTCAGTATAGTACTTGATAAAATATGTGAGATATTAAATACTTTATTATAAAATAGGTTTTGCATTAGATGATTTTCATTCAATTGGAATAGGGTGAGTTAATGCTAATAGTTGAGTAAAAAATATGTATAGATTGTGTTGGCTTGATCAATCCTAAATGCAGCTAGAAAATGCGGTTCTGTTATTAGAGCAAGGAGTTAGAATGGACATGTGGCTGTCCACATTATTTATTTATTTATTTAGAGACTAAGGCTTGCTCTGTCACCCACGCTGAAGCGCAGTGGCACAATCATAGCTCACTGTAGCTAAACTCCTGAATTCAAAGGATCCTTCAACTTCAGCCTCCTGAGTAGTGAGGATTACAGTCACATGACACTATGCCTAGATAATTTTTAAAATTTTTTGTAGAGACAGAGCCTCAGTATGTCACCCTTGCTGGTCTTGAACTCCTAGCCTCAAGCAATCCTCCCGCCTCAGCTTTCCAAAGTGTTGGGATTACAGGCATGAGCCACTCAGCCAGCCCCACTATTGACTTTAGACATCATATTTTGAATCTGGTGATATGGTATGGCTCTGTCTTTCCACCCAAATCTCATGTTGAATTGTAATTCCCAGTGTTGGGGAAGGGACCTGGTGGGAGGTGATTTGATCATGGGGGTGGGTTTTCCCCATGTACTTTTCATGATACTGACTCATGAGATCTGGTTGTTTAAAAGTGTGTAGTACTTCCTCCTTCACACACTCTCTCCTGCAGCCATGTGAATACATGGCTTGCTTCCCCTTTGCCCTTCCACCATGATTGTTAAGTTTCCTGAGGCCTCCCCAGCCATGCCTTCGTATAGCTTGTGGAACTGTGAGTCAATTAAACTTCTTTTTTTTTAAATTATCCAGTCTCAGGTAGTTCTTTGTAGCAGTGTGAGAATCAACTAATACATGTGGTATCAGCTGATTATATCATGGACGAAATAATAGAGCACAGTATTGGATTTGATTATCTTACATTTTGAAGTAATAATATCACAGGCTGAGTATCTAAATATTAAAACCTATAGATCTAAGACATTTAAATATTAAAGCCTATATATCTGCTTTCTATTTAATAATTTTCTTGCTCACCCTATATAACTTTGATTTAATTTAAAAACCAAATCCTAGAAGTCACCTGTGACTTTTCTCTTCTTCTGATATTCCAAACTTTATCTACCTTTACATACTGTTTGCTTTGCCTCCAAATAATACATAAATTTACTTGTTTGTTTTTAGCTCTATTCCCATCATAAACAGATTTCATTAGCTCATGTCCAAAGCAGTGCAAAATAATCTAACTGGTTTCCCTTCCTTTCATTATCACCAATCTTCCAAAAATTTCACAAAGTAATTTTAGGAGCTTTAAAAAATAACAATTATCTCATATTAACCCCCCCATTAACTCTTTAGTAACTTTCAACTATATTTACTGTAGCATCCAAATTCTAATGTCTGCAGGGTCTTACATTATCCACTCTTGACTTCTGTGATTCCATCTTGTTCCACTCTCCCATGCTTACCAACCACACTGAGTATTCACATTCTCTCAAAATCAAGCTCTTCCATGACTCAGGCCCTTTATATACACTTTTCTTGTATGTAGAAATTCTCCCTTCCTCACACTAATGAACTCTGCAATAAGATGTATGCCACCTGGACATTTTTTATTTTAATACCCTGTTATTTCTTGCCTTCATTATATTCATCATGATTTGTCCAATGATATGCACACAGAAGTACTTAAAAATCTGTATTAAATAAACATGCAAACATGTTGCTCATTTTTGATATGTATCCTGTGATGACAATGTGGTCTCTGACTTCATCAAGCTTTCATTCTCTATATTTATCTGTCTATTATCTATATTTGTGTGTGTGTGTATATATATATAATTCTCTGTATTTGTATATATATATACACACGAATATTCTCTCTCTCTATATATATATATACACACACACAAATTTCTATAATGACAGGTAGAATCAACTAAACACTTATTACACAAGAAGCAGACTGGTATCAAAGTAGAGGCAAATTTACTGTAAAGATAAAAAATGTGTTCAAGGTATATTAAAACAAGCTTGGGTAACCTGAGTTAATAAATTCATTCATAAATTTTAGAGGTTAAATACAACAATGGCTTAACTCACACTAAGCTGGTTATGTGTTTAGGGCTTTCTAGAGCATTCTTCCTTGTAGTAACCCAAGTTAGAGCCAAATTTGGCTCCTCCCTCTTAACACAGTTATGTCATGTCACTGATGCAGGGGACAGAAGATGTGGAAGATCAGGTGACAGATTTAAATTCACAGCTCATTGGCCAAAAGCAGTCACATGGCCCCACCTAACTGCAAAGTGCTGGGAGTTGGGTGAGGGCATATGGACCATTCATGATTTGTAAATGTTCCCACTACCATGGGGAGGTGATTTGAGTATTGAGGTGAGGAAAATGTATTAATCAAATGGAGGATAATTAATAATTGAGTTTTAGCGACTTGAAAATGTATGTTACTATCTTTAAAACTACATGATACAGTGACTACATATACGGAAGATAATTACATATTTATCTTGTATAATACATTAAAGTGTTTGTCCCTTTTTCTTCCAGAATGCTACCCAATAATCCTTTAGAGCTGCAATGTAAAACTGCTTATGCTTTTTTGGATCCAATTCAGATAAAACAAAACAAAACAAAATAGCAGACAATACTCTTCAACTTAAGAAATAATTTGCATTTTCTCACTTAAAAGACCACTGACTATTTCTAAAAAATCTAGCATATATAAAACTACTCACTTTCAACAATATAAATAACTTGAAGTATCATCATGCATAAAGGTAAATTTACTTTATTTATCTATCTATTTATTCATTCATTTATTTTTGATACAGAGTCTCACTCTGTCACCCAGGCTGGAGTACAGTGGTGTGATCTCAGTTCACTGCAACCTCCACCTCCCAAATTCAAGAAATTCTCATGCCCCAGCCTCCCAGGTAGCTGGGATTACAGGCACATGCTACCATGCCTGGCTAATTTTTTTGTATTTTAGTAGAGACAATGTATTGCCATATTGGTCAGGTTGGTCTTGAACTCCTGACCTCAAGTGATCCACCTGCCTCTGCTTCCCAAAGTGCTGGAATTACAGCTGTGAGCCACCATGCCTGGCCAAAAGCAAATTAAATTAGTACACAGAAAATCTAAATGTATGGACTACTGTATGCCATATATATCAATTTAGATTTTTGAAACTTTGTGTTGGGTGTTAATATCAGTTAATTAATTTGTCTTTATAGAAACCCACCTAAAAAATTGAAATACTGAGTAAATACTTTTCAACAATTGTTCAGCCAACCCAACTGATACTCAGCTTAAAATCAAAAGAAACATTACTTTACTATGATGCCTAATAATAAAACAAAAACAAAATCAAACCACCATCCCTGATTTAGTATTTAGAATTCTCAGACTCTAGAATTTGATTCAGATTAGAATCAGAATTAGAATTCTCAGAATATAGAATTTACAAAATTAATGATATAGGTCTAGCCATGGCTAACACAAAATATAAATTTCTGGACACAAGGGAGCTTACTTTTTGGACTCTTTATATTTATTGATAAAGAAATTAGATAGATATAATATACATATATTCAGTTTTACACCCAGTGTAATAAAGGAAATATTGCAATAAAGCAAATCATAATTGTTTGGTTTCCCAGCACTTATAAAAGTTATGTTCATGCTATACTATATTAAGAGTACAATAGCATTATATCTAAAGAAAATGCACACACTAAGGTGCATTTAAAAATATTTAATTCCTAAAAAAATGCTAATGATCATCTCACTGAATAGCCTTGCCTTGGATGGGCTTGACTTGATGTTGATGGTTGTTAACTGATCAGGGTGGTGGTTGCTGAAGGCTGGGTTGGCTGCAGTGTTACTTAAATTAAGATAATGATGAAGTTTGCTGCATTTATTCACTCTTCCTTTCACAAGATGTTCCTCTAGCATGAAATGCTGCTTGATAGCATTCTATCCACAGTAGGACTCCTTTCAAAATTGGAGTCAATCCTCTCAAACCCTGCCTCCCCTTTATGAACTCAGCGTAATGTAATATTCTAAATTCTTTATTGTCATTTCAACAATGTTCACAGCTTCTTCACCAGCAATGTTTCCATCTTAACAAATCACTTTTCTAGCTCATTCTTAAGAACAACCCCTCATTCATTAAAGTTTAATCATGAGATTGCAGCAATTCAGTCCTATCTTCAGGCTCCACTTCTAATTTTTGTTATTTTGCAATTTTTATCACATCTGTAGTTATTTCTTCCACTGAAATCTTCAACCACTCAGTCATCTGTGTGGAATGAGAAGTGGAATCAATCTCCCCCAAATTCCTATTAATGTTGGTATTTTGACCACCTCCCACAAATGCAAATTACAAACGTTCTCAATAGCATCTGGAATGGTGATTCCTATCCAGAAGGTTATCAATTTACTTTGCCCAGATCCATCAGAGGCATGGCGCCAGGCACTTAGTGAGGGAACAGGAATGATTATTTGCAGGTGGCTAAAAGCAACACAAATGGGGCCAAACTGGTTAGACATGATCCCTAGTGGAAAGGAACTGTTACAGCAGGCTGTGCTAATAAAGACGGACTGCAGACACCCTGCTTTAGGTACAGATGAGAATGTAACAAAAAAGAAATTGGCCACAACTGGTTAAATCCAAGACAGCATAAAATTTGACCAACTGCTAACCCTTGGTTTCGTTATGCCTCTATTCCCATAAAATTATGAGTAAACCTCCCATTCCCATCATGCACCTGATGCTATGACAGTTCCAGATTAACCATATTTAGTCAATAAAAGGGTGGCACCCCAAATCCAGGAACTGCTCATCCATTTCCCAGAAAACTCTTCCCCTTATTATAGAATATTCTATGCTTTCATTATGCTTCTAATGAGTTAGATTAGGGTTCAGATCAGGGGTAGGGGTAGGGTTAACATTAGGGTTAGGGTTTCATGCTTTCATTATACTTATCCATATAGTGTGTGAGCCCTGACAACACTGGATGTGCCTCATTCTTTTGAGCACACCCACACTCCTGTCTTGAGTTTCTATTTACTTACACTCCACAATAAAGTTTCTACACTTTCACTTTGGTCTCACTTTCAAATTCTTTGGTGCAGCAAAGGTTAGAACCTGTACTGGCCTACCAGCAGAGCATCACTATTTAGGGCAGCTGTAGTATTATGAAAGGTATTTCTTGCCCATTCAGTATGATATTGGCTGTGGGTTTGTCATAGATAGCTCTTATTATTTTAAGATATGTCCCATCAATACCTAATTTATTGAGAGTTTTTAGCATGAAGGTCGTTGAATTTTGTCAAAGGCCTTTTCTGCATCTATTGAGATAATCATGTGGTTTTTGTCTTTGGTTCTGTTTATATGCTGGATTACATTTTTTGATTTGCGTATATTGAACCAGCCTTGCATCCCAGGGATGAAGCCCACTTGATCATGGTGGATAAGCTTTTTGATGTGCTGCTGGATTCGGTTTGCCAGTATTTTATTGAGGATTTTTGCATCAATGTTCATCAAGGATATTGGTCTAAAATTCTCTTTTTTGGTTGTGTCTCTGCCCAGCTTTGGTATTAGGATGATGCTGACCTCATAAAATGAGTTAGGGAGGATTCCCTCTCTTTCTGTTGATTGGAATAGTTTCAGAAGGAATGGTACCAGTTCCTCCTTGTACCTCTGGTAGAATTCGGCTGTAAATCCATCTGGTCCTGGACTCTTTTTGGTTGGTAAGCTATTGATTATTGCCACAGTTACAGAGCCTGTTATTGGTGTATTCAGAGATTCAACTTCTTCCTGGTTTAGTCTTGGGAGGGTGTATGAGTCGAGGAATTTATCCATTTCTTCTAGATTTTCTAGTTTATTTGCGTAGAGGTGTTTGTAGTATTCTCTGATGGTAGTTTGTATTTCTGTGGGATCAGTGGTGATATCCCCTTTATCATTTTTTATTGTGTGTATTTGATTCTTCTCTCTTTTTTTCTTTATTAGTCTTGCTAGTGGTCTATTAATTTTGTTGATCCTTTCAAAAAACCAGCTCCTGGATTCGTTAATTTTTTGAAGGGTTTTTTGTGTCTCTATTTCCTTCAGTTCTGCTCTGATTTTAGTTATTTCTTGCCTTCTGCTAGCTTTCGAATGTGTTTGCTCTTGCTTTTCTAGTTCTTTTAATTGTGATTTTAGGGTGTCAATTTTGGATCCTTCCTACTTTCTCTTGTGGGCATTTAGTGCTATAAATTTCCCTCTACACACTGCTTTGAATGTGTCCCAGAGATTCTGGTATGTTGTGTCTTTGTTCTCGTTGGTTTCAAAGAACATCTTTATTTCTGCCTTCATTTCGTTATGTACCCAGTAGTCATTCAGGAGCAAGTTGTTCAGTTTCCATGTAGTTGAGAGGTTTTGAGTGAGTTTCTTAATCCTGAGCTCTAGTTTGATTGCAGCAAAAACTGGAAGCATTCCCTTTGAGAAATGACACAAGACAGGGATGCCCTCTCTCACCACTCCTATTCAACATAGTGTTGGAAGTTCTGGCCAGGGCAATTAGGCAGGAGAAGGAAATAAAGGGTATTCAATTAGGAAAAGAAGAAGTCAAATTGTCCCTGTTTGCAGATGACATGATTGTATATCTAGAAAACCCCATTGTCTCAGCCCAAAATCTCCTTAAGCTGATAAGCAACTTCAGCAAAGTCTCAGGATACAAAATCAATGTACAAAAATCACAAGCATTCTTATACACCAATAACGGACAAACAGAGAGCCAAATCGTGAGTGAACTCCCATTCACAATTGCTTCAAAGAGAATAAAATACCCAGGAATCCAACTTACAAGGGACGTGAAGGACCTCTTCAAGGAGAACTACAAACCACTGCTCAATGAAATAAAAGAGGATACAAAGAAATGGAAGAACATACCATGCTCATGGGTAGGAAGAATCAATATCATGAAAATGGCCATACTGCCCAAGGTAATTTATAGATTCAATGCCATCCCCATCAAGCTACCAATGACTTTCTTCACAGAATTGGAAAAAACTACTTTAAAGTTCATATGGAACCAAAAAAGAGCCCGCATCATCAAGACAAACCTAAGCCAAAAGAACAAAGCTGGAGGCATCACGCTACCTCACTTCAAACTATACTACAAGGCTACAGTAACCAAAACAGCATGGTACTGGTACCAAAACAGAGATATAGATCAATGGAACAGAACAGAGCCCTCAGAAATAACGCCACATATCTACAGCGATCTGATCTTTGACAAACCTGAGAAAAACAAGCAATGGGGAAAGGATTCCCTATTTAACAAATGGTGCTGGGAAAACCAGCTAGCCATATGTAGAAAGCTGAAACTGGATCCCTTCCATACACCTTTAACAAAAATTATTTCAAGATGGATTAAAGACTTAAATGTTATACCTAAAACCATAAAAACCCTAGAAGAAAACCTAGGCATTACCATTCAGGACATAGGCATGGGCAAGGACTTCATGTCTAAAACACCAAAAGCAATGGCAACAAAAGACAAAATTGACAAATGGGATCTAATTAAACTAAAGAGCGTCTGCACAGCAAAAGAAACTACCATCAGAGTGAACAGGCAACCCACAAAATGGGAGAACATTTTTGCAACCTACTCATCTGACAAAGGGCTAATATCCAGAATCTACAATGAACTCAAACAAATTTACAAGAAAAAAACAAACAACCCCATCAAAAAGTGGGCGAAGGATATGAACAGACACTTCTCAAAAGAAGACATTTATGCAGCCAAAAAACACATGAAAAAATGCTCATCATCACTGGCCATCAGAGAAATGCAAATCAAAACCACAATGAGATACCATCTCACACCAGTTAGAATGGCAATCATTAAAAAGTCAGGAAACAACAGGTGATAGAGATGATGTGGAGAAATTGGAACACTTTTACACTGTTGGTGGGACTGTAAACTAGATCAACCATTGTGGAAGTCAGTGTGGCAATTCCTCAGGGATCTAGAACTAGAAATACCATTTGACCCAGCCATCCCATTACTGGGTATATACCCAAAGGACTATAAATCATGCTGCTATAAAGACACATGCACACATATGTTTATTGCGGCACTATTCACAATAGCAAAGACTTGGAACCAACCCAAATGTCCAACAATGATAGACTGGATTAAGAAAATGTGGCACATATACACCATGGAATACTATGCAGCCATAAAAAAGGATGAGTTCATGTCCTTTGTAGGGACATGGATGAAATTGGAAATCATCATTCTCAGTAAACTATCGCAAGGACAAAAAACCAAACACCGCATGTTCTCACTTATAGGTGGGAACTGAACAATGAGAACACATGGACACGAGAAGGGGAACATCACACTCTGGGGACGGTTGTGGGGTGGGGGGGAGGGGGGAAGGACAGCATTAGGAGATATACCTAATGCTAAATGATGAGTTAATGGGTGCAACACACCAGCATGGCACATGTATACATATGTAACTAACCTGCACATTGTACACATGTACCCCAAAACTTAAAGTTTAATAATAATAAAATAAAATAAAAAAAAGAAAGGTATTTCTTGAATGAGACTTGAAAGTTGAAATTACTCCTTGATGCATGGACTGCAGAATGAATGTTGTATTAGCAGGCATGAAAACAGCATTAATCTCCTTGAATACCTTTATCAGAGCTCTTGGGTGACCAGGTGCATTGTGAATGAGCAGTAATATTTTGATAGGAACCTTATTACCTAAACAGTAGCTCATAACGGTGGGCTTACAATACCTAGTAAGTTATGCTGTAAGCAGATGTGCTGTCATCCAGGGTTTGTTGTTTCATTTATATAGCACAGGCAAATTAGATTTAACACAACTTTTAAGGGCCCTAGGATTTTCAGAAAGGAAAATGTGCATTGGCTTCAACTTAAAATCACTAGTTGCCTTAGCCTCTAACAAAAGAGTCAGCCTGTACTTTGAACTTTGAAGCCAGGCATTGACTTCCCCTGTCTAGCTATGAAAGTCCAAGATAGCCTCTTCTTCCAACAGAAGGTTGTTTGGTCCACTTTGAAAATCTGTTGTTTAATGTAGCTACATTTATCAACGATATTAGCAAGATCTTTTGGATAACTTGCTGCAGTTGTAGACATCAGCACTGCTGCTTCACCTTGCACTTTTATGTGATGGCGATTACTTACTTCCTTAAATCTCATGAACAAACTCTCCTAGCTGCAGACTTTTTCTCTGCAGCTTCCTCATCTCTCTCAGCCTTCACAGAATTGAGGAGAGTTAGGGCCTTACTCTAAAATAGGTTTTTGCTTAAGAGAACGTTGTGGGCCAGGCATGGTATCTCACACCTGTAATCCCAGCACTTTAGGAGGCCAAGGCGGGTGGATCACAAGCTCAGGAGTTCGAGACCAGCCTGGCCAACATGGTGAAACTCTGTCTCTACTAAAAATAGAAAAAATTAGCCAGGCGTGGTGGTAGGTGCCTGTAATATCAGCTACTTAGGAGTCTGAGGCAGGAGAATCGCTTGAACCCGGGAGGCAGAGGTTGCAGTGAGCCAAGATCCTGCCACTGAACTCCAGCCTGGGCAACAGAGACTCCATCTAATAAAATAAAATAAGTAAAATAAAATAAAAAGAGAGAGAATGTTGTGGTTGGTTTGATCTTCCACCCAGACCACTAAAACTTTTGCCATATCAGCAATAAGACTGTTTCACTTTATTATCATTCATGTGTTCGTGGAGTAGCACTTTTAATTTCCTTCAAGAACTTTTTCTTTGCACTCACAAGTTGGCTGACTATTCTGCACAAGAAGCCTACCTTTCAGCCTATCTCGCCTTTTAATGTGGCTTCCTCACTCAGCTTAATCATTTCTAGATTTTGATGTAAAGTGAGAAACATGAAACTCTTTCTTTTACTTGAACACTCAGAGGCCACTGTAGGGACATTAATTTCAATATTGTTGTGTTTCAAGAATACGGAACCAGAGGAGAAGGAGAGAGACAGGGAAATGGCCAGAGGACAGTCAAAACACACATAACATTTATGGATTAAATTTGCCACATCTAATATGGGCACAGTTTATGGAGCCCCAAAACAATTCCAACAGTAATGTCAAAGATCACCAATCACAGATGACCATAACAGAGATGATAATAATGAAGAACTTTGGAATTTTCAAGAATTACCAAAACGTGACACAAACACACAAAGTGAACCCATGTTGCAAAAATGGCGCTGATAGACTTGCTCAATGCAGGGTTGCCACAAACCTTCAATTTATAAAAAAAAAATCGAATCAAAACAAAAAACAATATCTGCAAAGCTCAATAAAGTGAAATACAATAAAAGGATGTATGACAATATTATAAATAGAAATATTATATAATATATATTTCAACTACATATCATTTATGAACATATATATGACATGCCTGTCAACTATGTGCTTATAAATATTAATCATAACATATAATGTGCATATCTAGTTAAAAAGAAATACATTCTGGGAATTACTGATATACAGCCTATAAGAAATTTTTATAACCTAAAGAAATGAAAGGATGGTATTACTACAGCAAATACCTCTTGACTTCCCATTATATATTAAGTGTAGGCGATTCCATTTTGAGAAAGGCATTCTAGCCTTGATCCTTGCCTGTGTGGAGCTTGCATCTTAATGGAATGATAATAATATACAAAAAGGGGCCAGGCACGGTGGCTCACTCCTATAATCCCAGAACTTTGGAAGCTGAGGCAGGTGGATCACCTGAGGTTGGGCATTCAAGACCAGCCTAGCCAACATGGTGAAACCCCATCTCTACTAAAAATACAAAAATTAGTTGGGCATGGTGGTGCACATCTGTAATCCCAGCTACTTGGGAAGCTGAGGCAGAATTGCATGAACCCAGAAGGTGCAGGTTGCAGTGAGCCGAGATCGTGCCACTGTACTCCAGCCTGGGCGATAGAGTGAGATTCCATCTCAAAAAAAAAAAATGTATATACATATTTTTGTATATATACATATTTATATATATTTTATATATGTATTATATATGCATACATATTTATATATATATAGTGTGTATATATACACACACACACACACACACGCACACACACAAAGGAAGGACTCCAGTGCAGAATGCTGAACTTCAAGGTGCAGTGAAGCAGACAGAAGAGATACCTAGCCTTGTCATGGTGGGACAGAGGAGAACAGACTGTAAGATGGGAAAATAAGAAACATTTTCCCCCAAAAGCTTTTCTAAAATATTCTTACCACAGCCAAGAGGCTATATAAACATCTTGCTTCCAAAAAAAAAAAAAAAATGGGGCCAGGCTGACTCAGACTATTATTTTACATTTTTTCAATGACAAAAGAGCTATAATTTTACAATGAGTATAAATGTGGAAATTTTAGCAATGTATTTTGTTGCAAAATGCACTGGAATACATACATTCTGTGAGTAGAAAATGGAGCTGTAATTTATTGCTCCAGGAAATTTTCTCATTATGTAGTCTCAGCATTACAAGAACAAACCAAGCAAGGTTGGAAATAAAATCTATTGTCCAAGATTTTGTTTCTCCACAATTATTTAGACACATGCTTGAATTTTTTCACAGCAATTACCTAGCCCTGGGTTTTCCATTATCTCAACTTTGCCAGGATTAACAAGGACTTAAAATCGTTATCCAAAATGTTGCAGAATAGTGTTATTCATACCGGAAAGGACACTGATGTTTCAGATGAGCCAATTATACAAAATCTCATATTTCTGTGTTAGTTTTATAATAGATTGTCTATAAACACCAATTTGAATCTGCCCTGAATGGAAATATCTAATATGACTTTGGTGGTTATTTGAAAAAGAGAAAATGCCTCTGCAAGAAATCTAATAAAGTAGTAATGAAAATAATTTAAAATTATGTCTGTTTTTCTTTAGTCAAAAGTAATGTGGATGGATATTGAGTGAGAAGAAGAAAACAGGCAGGAAAACACTTGGAAAAAATGAATTCAGGTAAAACAATCCTTACATATTTTTAATAAAGTGGGACGAACCCTGTAAATTTCCCACACAGTATGAGAGCCCAGTCATGCCCAGGCCACTCTTCCTCACAGAGCCCTGTACTCTCCCTCTTTAGCACTTAGCATTTCTGTCATTATAAACATGTGTAATGCTTTGGTTAATAACACTATTCTCCCTAGCTGGAATATAAACTCCATGAATGTAATGAGTGTGAATATGTTTTCTTCCTGTCTGGCACCTTGTAAGTCTTCAATACATATTTAAAGAAAGTTGCTGGGGGAGGGTTTGTTTTTGGTTTTGTTTTTGTTTTTGAGACAGAACCTCACTCTGTCATCCAGGCTGGAGTGCATTGGTGCTATCTCGGCTCACTGCAACCTTCGCCTTCTGGATTCTCCTGCCTCAGTCTCCCAAGTAGTGGAGGTTACAGTAGTGCACCACCATGCCTGGATAATTTTTATACCTTTAGTAGAGACCAGGTTTTGCCATGTTGGCCAGGCTGGTATCAGACTGCTGGCATCAGGTAATCTGCCCACCTCGGCCTCCCAGCATGCTGGGATTACAGGTGTGAACCACTGCACCCAGTCTATATGTAAAGAAAATTGTTGAATAAAAGATTAGAACATTATTTCATAGGTAACAGAATTCTAGTAATGTCTCTGGAGTTACTCTGGCTTATTTTTTTCTATATTGTAAGGAAAAAACATATGATGCACGGTGTGTTTCCCAAAAATACCATACTAGGAACTGTGGAGACATATGCCTTGCAGCGAAGATCCCACGACCAGCTGAACATTCCTGCTCTGTCTGCCTTCATGCTACACTAAAGATGACAATTAATAAAGGATAATTTTCTAGTCTCACTCTTTTACAAAGAATAGGACACTATTCACAGGCTGGTGAACAAAAAGTAAATCTTATAGAAAATCAAACTTTCATATTTGAAAAACATTTGTGCTGTAATTCTTGAGGAGTCTTCCAGGTGAAAAAAATTCAATTGCCAATTATCGAAATAATGAAGGAAAATGTGTCATGAAGAATAAAGACAAATTATTAAAACTATATGGGAGTCTAGAATATAGATCCTGATATAAGTAATTTGACAATAAAATAAAGCTTTTTGATGTCCTGAATAAGCAAACAATACCAGGTACAGTAAGTCATCGGTTAACGCCATTGACAGGTTCTTGAAATCTACAACTTTAGGCAAAATGACTTATGGTGAAACTGACTTTCTTCTCATCAACGTTATAATGAAATAACATTGAAAAAATGACATTATTTGAGGATCTGCTGTACGTTTTTTCACTTCAAGTTGTGGTTTCTAAGAACGTGTCAATGATGTTAAGTGAGGACTTTCTGTAGTTCATATAAAGTTCCTTTATATTTAGTCATGTACAGTAATTTGCTGATATTTCAGTCCCTGTCTTCATTCACCATGAGTGTCTGGGTCTTCTGGAAAATTGGAATGATTTGGAGTTGTGGTGTGTTCTTCTTTGGCACACAAAGACCTAATCAAGTAGCAGGATAAAGTAGAAAGGCTATGTTATTAGTTATTAGCAGATTAAAGGGAAAAATTCAATTTATATAAATTAGGTGCAGTGGCCTTGGGTAGTTAAGTTAATTTCTCTGGCCTGTGTATATATATATATATATGCATGTCATAATGTTAACTACCGGCATCCAACCTTATGGAGAGCAGTAGAGAACAGAAAGTATAAAAACATGTGAAAACTGTAAATAACTACATATATTTCTTGTTTTATTATTTAATACAATAAAATAGCAAATATAATAGGTTGAAAATGTGTCTGAAAACTCAATTACCAAGAGAAATTTTTTTAAAATTAGAATATCAATCATCATCAGGTGTCCTAGAACTGACCCCAATTTAGAATGTAATATTGGTGAAGAAAAAAAACTTTTATGAAGAGGTTTACTTCTTCTTTTTTTACACTTCACACATACACACACACACACACACACACACACACACACACACACTCCCCAGAGGAAGGTTTCCAAAATCTGGTCTTGATTTAACATTGTGAAAAACTAAGACCTTTCCAAAATCCTAAAATGAAACTTGACCACTGTGTCAAATCTTCACTGTATTTATGACAGCCATTAAGCTACACATATGCCAGCTGCTAGAATTCATTAGGATTATATGAGACTCTCTTTGAATCCTCTGAAATTCATTGATTGATTCTGATTATCTCCCATTCCTATCAGTTAAGGTTAAACTAGAAACAACTCCCTACAGTTGGGTGAATGCAGCCGGCATTGACATATAAGGGCCATTAACTGTCTTGTATTATGCATTTGTGAAAAAAAGCACCTTAGATGGTATGATTGCTGCACTGAACTAATAATGAAAATGCTTTTTCCTGCAGCTTACTGTTTATCAATTGATACATGTGCTCTTACCAGAGGAACATATCAATTTTTTTAGCCTTGGCAAACTCCTCCACACTGCACCTACTGCTTATGGTGATTGAATGCTAAGGGTCATGTGAAATGCTAAAGAGGAAAGCATCTTGCTAGAGAATTACATATTAGTAATTCTCATCTAGGGACTATAGACAGAGTTACTGGACAATAGCAGAGCTCATTTCCAGTATGGTATGGTAATGACAACATGATGAGATAATCCAAAAGAGAACATTGTCAAAACTAGGAAATGGGGACCCTTTCAGAAAGCCATAAGTTTGAGAACATTTTTTTCTTATGGCTAACTGTTCACGAACAGACAGAGAGATGGAAATCTGTCATTGGGCTCAGTTTGGACTGTGCGTGTGTGTGTGAGTGTGTGTGTGCACGTGTGCGTGCGTGTGTGTTTTGCCAAGAGTTATTTTGGAATAATTACTACATGCAGATTTTTAGAGGCATGAAAATGTTAATGAGACTTATGTACACAGAACATCTTTCTTTGTCATCTGGAAATAGAAAATATTACTAGCTTTTAGGGTCTATAAAATTTAATCAAGGTTTAATTGGTGTTTTAAGACCCTATAAAGATTTCATATGAAAATATTTTTAATAACATATTCACTAAACTAGCATTTCCCAGACAAAGGCATCAAAGGACAGCATTTAGATAACTCATTTCCTTGATTTAATACAGTTATTTTTCCTAAAATAAGATAATTTTATTTTTGATTACTTAGAAAATGAATATTGATCTTAAGAAGTATGGAATAAAAATTAATATTTCTTTTTAATCCTCACTGGTAGTTTTTGTTAATCAACTCTAAAATTGAAAATGGAGAGAACTGAGAGTACAAGGAGAAGAAACAAAATTTTTAAAATTAGAAAAACATGAATAAATCAAACATTAACGTAGACATAAGAAAATGGCGGCAAGCCGTAAAGCTTGAAAAGCAATACCTGGTATGGTGGGCAAAATAATGCCTGCTCCACCTCACACCTTAATACTCACATCCTAATCCCTGGAACTTATGAATATTACCCTACATGACAAAAGAGATTTTGCCGACATGATTAATTTAAGGATTTGGGGATAGATATATTATCCTGGGTTGTCAGAGGGGCCTGAGCAGAAGGATTCTAAAGACAGTCAAAGAAGGAAATTTGACTATGAAAACAAAGAACCAGAATGATATAGCCTGGGAAAGACTGTGGGCCACTCGTGGCTTTTAAGACAGATGACTGCATCCACAAGCCAAAGTATTCAGGCAACCCTTGTTTCCCTGAAAAAGGCATGAAAACAAATCCCTCCAAGAGGCCCCAGATGGAATGCAGTGCTGACAACACCTTGATTTTTTTCCTGTTCAGACTCATGTCAGACTTCTGGCCTACAGAACTGTAAGATATTAAAGTTGCACTGTTTTAAACCACAGAATTTGTAGTAATTTTTTACAGCAGCTATAGGCAACTAATGAACCCAGCTAACTCACCGGTATTAGAAAGTAGCCTTGCTAGAGAGTGATGTCAGCAAGATGGCAGATTAGAAGCACTCAGTGTTCATCCTGACCCAAAGACACCCCAAATAACAAACAACTATATGTTGATAGAAAAGTGCTAGATTACATCAAAAGAGTAACAGGAACCCCAGTGAGCACAGAAATTCAGTATAGCCACTAGAGAATGAGAGAAAATCCATGGCCTCCACCACCTCATTCCCGAGTCAGGATCAGCTCAAAACCAAGAAGAACTCCTTCTTGGGAAAAACAAAGCAAGAAAATCCCAGCAGTCCCCATCAACACCTTGGACACGTACAGTACTCAAAAGTAGAGACCACTGAAGCCCTCATGGGCAGTAAGCCCAGCTGAGGAAGCTTCTGGAGTCCATACCACTGTGTTCCTCTCAGAGAAGAAGCTGACACTGTGCCCTACCCCCTGAGGCACAGTGAAGGTACTGTACTACACCCCTTTGGAAATGCAACTACTGCTGGAGTGTATCCTGCTCTGGAGGCCACTGGCCTAATACCCTTCCATCCTTGAGGTTTCACTACAGCAGAACCACCTCTGCCTGGTGGCCCAACACCCCCAAGCTAAGCTGTGATGTGGCAATAGACCCTACCCTGTGGGGCCAAGCATCCCTGGAGCCACCCCACTCCCAGTTGCAGCTGTGCCCTCTCTCCCTAGGGGGCTGAGCTGAAGCTGCTCATTGCCTCCTGGGGAAATGGTGCCTTGATGTTGCTGCTGTATCTGCCCCTCCCAGCCACTGCTGCATCCTGCACATCAGGGCCCAGGCTAAAGCTGCACAACCCCTCCCAAAGAAACGGTGCCATGGTGGAGCTGTACCATCTACTTTTCTCAATCCTTGCTGTGCCCTGTCTCTAGGGGCCTCTGCTGAAGTTTCACATTGCCTCCTGAAAAAATGGTTGTTTGCCAAAGTCACTCCATATACTTCTCTCAGCCACCATTCGTGCCTAAGTTGAAGCAATATTCTGGCTCTCAAGAAACTGGGCCTTGGCCATCCAGAGCAGTCATGCATCAGTTGACACCCAGAGAAGACATGATTCCCAGTCATGAGCTGAAGTGGCACATCACCTCATTACCAAAGGATTTGTGCCTCGACTGAGCTGAGGAGTTGCACCTCCCAGGATCAAGTTGATGTGGTACCCCACATCCCAGAAAACCAGAACACCAACTAGGCTAAAATGCCCTCCGATACAGGCCAAATGGTGCTAGTACTCTGGTTCATTGGAGCTGCACTGGCTTCCTAGACTCTGAGATGCTGAACGTCATTCTTCCCGGGGAGTTAAATTATAGCTGTGACGCTTCTTGTCTCCTCCTGTCCCCCTGCCACTGCCCCAACAGGGTTCAAGCAACAGCTGCACTCCACATGGTGGTCATGCTGCCACTGCACCTGGACTTACAGAGTCTGGGATACTGCCGAGTCCCACTATCGCAGGATCCAGGGTCTACTACATGGGAGCCTGGTTATCCATGGGGATAACCCTTGGATCTGAGTTGCCACTGAGCCCTATTGGTCTGGTTCCAAAACTGAAGCCATATGCTGCTCCCTGGGCACAAACCTCCAGAGTACCTCTTCTTCTCCAGAGCTGGGCCCTGGTACCCAGGGGCAAAGTCAAAAGCTATAATCTATACTCCTGAACCTAAGCTACTAGGGGGTGCCTCAGAGTCACAGACCCCAGCTCTTGTGGGCAATCTACATCCAACTTTGCCTCAGAGGGTGAACTTGCACCACAAGACCCAGTGTCACAATAGGTTCACAAGACCCTGAGACTAAGACCCTGGCTCCACAGCCAATCAGAGCACCTACATCCTAGTACCTAATGCCACTGCAATTACTTGTAGGCCCTGTCAATCCCATCACCAAGAAGGATCAGCTCTACTAAATATTCCCATTTTGGATAAAGTGAGAATAAGAGGACCCCAAAAGTAATTGCCACTGAGGACCCTAAAAACCTTACTACCAGCACTGTTGCCACAGACTTCTACAGCCTAGGCCACTGAGGTACACAAAGTCATTGCTGATGTTGGTCACAACTAAAGAAGCTGCATGGAGGCTATACCATTGTATCTACTTGAAATGAGTCACCATGCCCTTTCCAACCAGCACACCAAGACTGATCTAAAAGTGAAAGTCTTTATCTGTGAAAGCCTGTCTGTAAAGTTTGGAAGAGATGATTATTCAAACAGATGTGCAGATATCAAGGTGGTGACATGAAAAAGCAAGGAAATATGGCACCACCAAGAGAACACAAGAACCCTCCAGTAATAGGCCAGTAATAGGCCGCAAAGAAAAGGAAATTATGACTTAACAGAAAAGGAATTCAAAATAATAATCTTAAGGAATCTCAGTGAGATACAAGAGAATACAGAAGGATAATTCAACAAAATCTGAAGGAATGAGAAATTTAGCAAAGATAGATATCATAAAAAAGAACTAAACATAAATCTTGAAGCTAATTCAACAAATAAAGTAAAAAAAAATTACAGTAGAGAGCTTCAACAGCAGAACAGGTCAAGCAGAAGAAACAATCTCTGAACTTAAATATAGGTCATTTGAAATTACTCAGAGGACAAAAAGAATGAAACAAAGAGTGAAGACAGCCTACAGAACTTATGGGATACCATTAAATGCACAAACATTTGCATTATAGGATTTTGAGAAGTTGAAGAGGCCAAGATAAGGACAGAAAGCTTATTATAATAATTGCTGAAAACTCCCCAAGTGTGGGAAGACATATGGACATCCAGATATGTGAAGCTTGAAAGTCCCATATAGTTTCAACCCAAAGAGGTCTTCACTGAGACATATTGTAATTAAACTGTCAAAAGGTAAAGTCCAAGAGAGAATTTTAAAAGCAGCACGAGAAAAGTGTCAAGACACATATAAAGGAATTAACATTAGACTATTAGTAATTAACTGAACAGAAATCCTAAAGGCCAAGAGAGAATGGGATGATATATTTAAAGTGCTGAAAGATAAAAACATGCGTGTCAAGAATTCTATAGCTACCAAACTTGTCCTTCAGAAGTAAAAGATAAAATTTTCCTCAAACAAGTAAAAGATGAGGGAATTCATCACCACTAGACCAGAGCTACAAGAAATGCTTAAGGGAGTTCTTATAGTAGAAACAAAAAATGCTAATTAAATACAAAAACATATAATGTATAAAATTCACTGGAAAAAGTAAATATGTGGCCAAATTGAGAATACCCCAAGGCTGTTATAGTACTATATAAATCATATATACATATATACATACACACACACTATTATGATTAAAAGTCAGAACAGTCAAAAATAGCAATAGCTACAATAACTTGTTTTAAAATATAAATCGTGACATCAAAAATATAAAATATAGGGGGAAAGGTAAAAGTCTAGAGTTTTTTATGTACCTGAAGTTAAAATGTTATCAGCAGAGAATAGTCTATTTTAACTTTAAGATGTTTTATGTAAGCCTCATGGAAACCACAAAACACAAATATATAGCAGATGCACAAATGTTTAAAAAAAGAATTAAAACTTACACTAAAGAAAATTACAAAAATAAACAAGAGCGGGGAAAAAAGGATCTACAAAACAACTAGAAAGCAACTGACAAAATGGCAGTAGTAAGTCCTTATCTGTCAATAATTACTTTCAATGTAAATGGATTAAATTCTCCAATCAAAAAAGTAGAATGGATAATTTAATTAAAAAGAAAGGCAACCATATCAAAATCTGTGCTGCCTAGAGGAGACCTACTTTAGCCTATGTACATATAGGCAGAAAGTAAAGGAATGGAAGAAGGTATTCCATGCAAATGATAAGACATCACAGGTAGCTATACTTATATAACAAACAACAGACTTCATGTTGAAAACAATCACAAGAGACAAAGAAGAACTTTAATAATAAATGGCACAACTTACCAAGAAGATGTAACAATTATATATGCACCTAACATCAGAGTGCCTAAATATATATGTAGCAAATACTAAGGGGAATAAAGGGAGAAATAGACAACAATAATATTAAAGGCCTTCAATACTCCACTTTTAGCAGTGGTCAGAACAATCAGACAGAGAAGTAATGAGGAAATACTGCAATTCAACTGCATTGGAGACAAAATGGGCCTAACAGGTATATAAAAAATTTCTTACTTAGCAGCAGAATACAGATTCTTCTCCCATGCACATGAAACATTCTCCAGGATAGTCCATATGTTAGGCCAAAACAAGACTTAACAAATGTAAAACAAATTGAAATCATGTCAAGTATTATTTCTGACCACAATGGTATGAAACTAGACATCGATGACAGGAGAAACTTCAGAAACCACACCAATACACAGAAAATCAACAACATACTCTTGAACAATCAATGCATCATAAATAAATTAAAAGTGAAATCAGAATATTTCAAGAGACAAATGAAAATGGAACGACAATATACCAAAACTTACAGGAAACATCAAAAGCAGGATTCAGAGGAAAGTTTATAGTGACAAATGCCTACATTAAAAAAAAATTAGAAATATCTCAAATAAACAACCTAACATTGTAACTTAAGGAATTAGAAAAACAGAAACAAATTAAACCCAAGGTTAGTAGAAGAAACTGAATAATAAAGATCAGGGCAGTAATAAATAGAGACTTAAAAAACACAAAAGATAGAGAAAGCTGTATTTTTCTGTAATGACAAATCTGACAAACTTTTAGCCAGATAAACTAAGAAAATAAGGCAGAAAACTCAAATAAATAAAATCAAAAGTAAAAAAGGAGACCACAAAAGTGATACCACAGAAATGCAAATGGTCATACGAGACTACTATGAACAACTATATACCAACAAACTGGAAAACCTAGAACAATTATATACCAACAAATTGGAAAACCTATCAAGAATGAATCATGAAGGAATAAAGAAATCTAAACACAGGGACTCACACCTATAATTACAGCACATTGGGAGGCCAAAGTGGGAGAATCGCTTGAGCCCAAGAGTTTGACACCAGCCCAGGCAGCATGGCAAGACTCCATTTCTACAAAAAATAATAAAGAAATTTAGCTGGGTGTGATGGTTTGTAACTGTAGTCCAAGCTACTTAGGAGGCAGAGGTAGGAGGACTGATTCAGCCTGGGAAGTTGCGGCTCCAGTAAGCAGAGATCATGCCACCACACTCCAGCCTAGGTGACAGAGTGAGATTCTATCTCAAAAAAAAAAAAAAAAAAAAAAATTCATAATAGACCTATAATGAATAACAAGATTAAAATAATAATACAATCCTCATATAAAAGAAAAGCCTAGGACCTGAAGTTTTTCACTGGTGAAATCTACTGAGCATTTTTAAAAAATCAAATTATTCTCAAACTTTTTTCAGAAAATTACAGAGGAGGAAATTCTTCCAAAGTCATTCTATGAGACCAGAATTAACCTGATACCAAAACAAGATGAAGACACAACCACAACAAAAAAATTACCGGCCAATATTCCTGATAAGTACATATGCAAAAATCCTCAACAGAATACTAGCAAAACAAATACAGCAGCATATTAAAGGATTATTCACCGTGAGCAAGTGGGTTTCATCCTAGTGATATAAACATGAATTAATATATGCAAATCAATAAAGGTGATTCTTTACATTGACAGAATAAATGACAAAAACCATATGATCATTTCAATAGATGCAGAAAAAGCATTTGACAAAATTCAACATCCCTTCCCAATGAAAACTCTCAACAAATTAGACATCAAATGTATATAGCTCAACACAGTCAAAAACATATATGACAAACCCACAGCTAACATCACACTAAACAGGGAAAGAAAGTTTTTCCATTAAGATATGAAACAAGACAGAGATGCCCACCTTCTCCATTTCTATTGAACACAGGACTGGAAGTCCTAGCCAGAGGATTTAGATAAAATAAAAAAATAAAAAGCATCCAAATAGGAAAGCAGAACATTCACTGTCCCTGTTTGCAGATGACATGATCTTATGTATAGAAAATCCCAAAAACTCTATGAAAAAAAAAAAAACTGTTAGAACTGATTTACAAGTTCAGTAAAGTTGCAGGATACAAATTCAACATAAAAAAGCAATAGTGTTGCTATATGGTAACAGTTAACTACCTAAAAAATATTTTTAATCTCATTTACAGTAACTACAAATACTAAGTAACACAGGAATAAATTTAGCCATGAAGGAAAAGAGCTACACACTGAAGACTTTAAAACTCTGATGAAAGACATTCAAGAGGTTACAAATAAGTGGAAAAATACCCCATGTTCATGGATTGGAAGAATCAATATTGTTAAAATATCTACACTACCCAAGGTGATCCATAGATTCAATGTAGTCACTATGGAAATAGCAAAAATATCCTTCAAAGACATAGAAAAAAATCCTAAAAATCACATGGAACCACAAAAAATTCTAAAAAGCTAAAGCAATCTTGAGCAAAATGAACAAGCTGTAGTCATCATACTTCCTGACTTTAAAATATACTACAAAGCTATAGACATGGTACTGGCAAAAAACAAAACAAAACAAAAACAGACAGATGGACCCATGGAGAATGTATTAGTCCATTTTCACACTGCTATAATGATACTACCTAAGACTGGGTAATTTATAAACAAAAGAGGTTTAATTAACTCACAGTTCTGCATGGCTGGAAGGACTCAGGAAACTAACAATCATGGCAGAAGGCAAAGGGGAAGTGAGGCATGTCTTACATGGTGGCAGGAGAGAGAGAGCAGGAAAAGAGGAAGTGCCACACTTTTAAACCATTAGATAGAGTGAGAACTCACTCACTGTCATGAGAATAGCATGGAGGAAACCACTTCCATGATCTAATCACCCCCCATCAGGTCCATCCCTCAACATGTGGGGATTACAATTTGTAATGAGATTTGGGTGGGGACAGAGAGCCAAAGTATATCAGAGAAGAATAGCACGCATAGAAACAAATCCACATATGTATAGCCAACTGATTTTTGATAAACAGGCCAAAAACACACATTGCAGAAAAGGCAGTGTTTTCAATAAACAGTACTGGGATATTTGGATATTCACATGCAGAAGAATAAAACTAGACTTCTATCTCTCACCATATACAGAAACTAATAAAAATCAATGTAAGGTTTGAAACTATGAAACTACTAGAAGAAAACAGGGGAAATGCTACAAGTCATTTGTATCAGCAAGGATTTTTTGGATGAAACTTCAAAAGCACAGGCAACAAAAGCAAAAATAGACAAATGGGATTAAAAGCTTCTATACAGCAAATGAAACAATAGAATGAATAGACAACTTATAGAATGGGAAAAAATATTTGTGAACTGTTCACCTGACAAAGGGTTAATATCAAGAATATACGAGAAACTCAGACAATTCAACAGCAAAAATCAAACAAACCAACTAATATTCCAATTACAAAATTGGTAAATGGTCTGAACAGTTATTTTTTAAAAGAAGACATATAAATGGCCAACTGTATGTGATGAAATGCTTAATATAGCTAATCATAAGAGAAAGCAAATCAAAACCATAATAAGATTGCACCTTACTCCAGTTACAATGGCTATTATCAAAAAGACAATAGATAACAAGTGTTGGTGAGGTAGTTGAGAAAAGAGCCCTTTACACTCTTTGGGAATGTAAATTAGCACAACCATTAGGGAAAACAGTAAGGAGGCTTCTTAAATAAATAAAAATAGAACTATTATATGATCTAGCAATCCCATTACTGGGTACATATCCAAAGAAAAGGAAATCAGTATGTTGAAGAAATATTTGCACTCCAATGTTTAATGCAGCACTATTCACAATAGCCAAGATATCTAATCAACTTTAGCATTCTTTGAATCAAAGGGTAAAGAAAATATGATATATATACAAAAATGGTACACTATTCAGCCAAAAAAAAAAAAAAACAATAAAATCTTGTCTTTTGGGACAATATAGATAAAGTTGGAGGGCATTATGTTAGGTGAAATAAGCCAGACACAGAAAGACAAATCCTGCATGATCTCACTCATATGTGGAATCTAAAAAAAGTTTATCTCATGGAGGCGAAAGCAGAAAAGTAGTTACCATCGGCTGAGGAGGATAGTGGTAGGAGTGGTGGAGGACAGGTTGTTTAACAGTTACAAATTTACAGTTAAGAGGGATAAATTTTTATGTTTTGCTGCACAGTATGGTGACTATATTAAAAAATGATGTATTATATATTCCACAATATCTAGAAGAAAGCATTCAGATTTCTCTACTCTGATTTGATCATTGCACAATATATGCATATATCAAACATATTATCTCATAAATATGTACGTGCCAACTAAAAATAAAATAAAACTTAGAAGTAGCATTGCCAATGTAAATATAAGGGCATGTCTAATCAGAATTACAAAATTAGAAGCAATGTTGAGAAAACTATAGGTCGTTTACTTGTTCAAGTAGTGTAGATGTTCTGATTGAATTGATAATATAACAAATAAAGTGGACAATTTAAAAATAATTTAAAAACTGACAAGATTTAGAACTAAACATATTACCAATTTAATTAAAATATTTGTTTTACAGCACATGAAAACTGCAATAATTAATTGAGAGCAGCCAAGTCCTGCCACCATTCTGACAAAGTAGAAAGAGGCCTGAATTTTAATCCAAAGATTTTCATTCTTGTCTGGGCAGATATAATAGCTACTACCTTTATAAATTGAGAAAGTCACTGGTCATTTAATTTCTTTTTTTTTTTTTTTTTTTTTTGAGACGGAGTCTCGCTGTCGCCCAGGCTGGAGTGCAGTGGCGCGATTTGGCTCACTGCAAGCTCTGCCTCCCGGGTTCACGCCATTCTCCTGCCTCAGCCTCCGGTCATTTAATTTCTTAATGCTCTGTTGTTTTTCTTAATCTATAATGTGAAAATATTACCTTCCAGAGAATCAAAATCTAAAATATATATAAAAAGCAGCATGATACAGTGACACATGGTTGAAAGATGTTAACTGCCATAAAGTGGGACATTTTTACACTACATCTGTGATGCACAGAATTGTCTGCATTAGAAGAAAATTGTTCCTTATGGTTCAGACTCATTTATTTTTTCTTTCATTTTTGGAGGTAGAAAGTGCTTTCCTTTTGGAAATATTCCCCCAAAACTGGTGAGCATCTCGTCATGTTTCCTATGTTTTATTTCATGAAGGTGCTATAAATCCACTTGGTTAAATGTTGGAGATTCACCTGTTCAGATGCTCAGGAAAAGAAATTATGTTTGAGGATGTCTTCAGGGCTAGCTGCCCACTGTAGTCTCAGAAATGTTTGGTGGCATCTCCCCAACACTTTCAAGCCTAAATCCTGAAAACACACACTACTCAGTCACAGTCTACAGAACTTTCTGTTTGATGTTGTCCAACATTTAAGCAAGCTGGTCTCCTGAAGATTCAGAGGTTATCCTTGTCTATGGATTGAATCTAGCTCCAACTGTGATGAGCTATTCTCTAGCTCACACCCTTTCAGTATTATTCAAATGTTTGCCTGCTCACTCTAGGATCCCTTCCTTAAACTTTCAATTCCATGATATTCATTCTATTCTCTCTTACTGTAACTTATAGACCCTTGTTTGTTTTCTTATTTCTTGGCTGCAGGCTTTTCACCTGGTACCAGATCTTTTTGTTTAATTTTGTTTTTGCTACCACAATTCTTCTAACGTTGACTAACATTTACCACACTTTCCATAATGACAACTTATTTGGGAATTTAAATTATAAGCTCATTCTGTTTAGGTCTCCATACCTATATTTTATATGCAGGTATAAAAGAAAATATGAAAGATAAAAGTAAACACCCCCCCCCACATCCATTGCCTAAGCTATTCATCATGCATTGAGTACATCTTTCTGCCAAGCACTCTGCTAGGTAAAGGAGATTTTAAAGCTGAATTCCTAACACATGAAGGTGCTGGCATCTACTTCCAGTTTTTACCTACCTCCTATGCACTGTTGACTTCAAAACCTAAATCTCTAAGCCTATCCACAAGTCCAAAGTCCACTTAATACATCCAACTTCCTACTGGTTTCCATTTCAAACCCAACATACCTAAAATTACTCTTATCATTTATTTCATCTTTTAACTACTCAGTGTCCTACTTCTAAAATTCTCTCTTCATCAAAGTCAGAATATGTGTGAGATGGTCACACAGAGACTTCTTAGCTAAAACCAGTGAGGTAAAGGTTGTTGTAGGATATCATGGATACTTCTTTTTCAGTTCACCAACATCATCCCCTTCTTTTGAGAGACTTCATATTGTTTTCTCCGTATGAATGTGTTCTATGGAGGGCTGTCAAGTGGGATACTTTTGTTTGCAGGGGTAGGGGTGTGAGACAGGCTGGACAAATCATTGTACCCCTTTTTGCCTGGACACATATTGGTCATGCATTGGGTACAGGAGTTAACCTGGATCTGGCAAGGTAGAAGTCTTTTTTCTTTCTCATCATAAGACTGTGAGGATGAAAATGGAATAAACTAACTCTATCTATTGCTTTCATTCCTAGAGACATATGATCTAACAGAACAAATCCATGTACAAAGACAAAGGCAGGGAAAGAAGCAAAAGGTAAAAAGACTTCAAAAGAAATTGAGATAGAGTACTGATGATGCTTGTAACAGTGTAGTACATCCATCAGTAGACCAAAATCATTCTTAACAAATTTATGGTTTTCCACAACAAATTCCGTCTTTTTTTGTTGTCGTTGTTGGGGATTTCGAGTTGTGTTCTGGGCATTTGCCACTAAAATGTGCAAGTACAGGTAAAGATGCTAAATATCTTTTTAGTTTAAAATCTAGTCATATTGAATGGCGGGGAAAGGTAAAATGACTGATATATTGATGACACAGGATAATGCATTCAAAGGAAAAAATATTAAGTTGCTAAAATATGGAAAAATAAAAATATCAAGTGGGGGTTGGGGGAAGACACAAAAGAATTGTGAGAGGAGAATGAGAATGAGTAGGAAAAAGGGAGAGAACATATATTATCATATGCAAAGAACATGGCAAACAGCCTAAATTTTGCAGAACATGAGAAATACAAACAAACAAAAATTTGACATAAAAGTGTCAGAACTATTTGCAGACAGAGTTAGTAATAACATTCTACAAATAATAATAAGGACCATGAGAAAAGACAATGATAACTCAGCACAGAACTGTATGGTACCAGTAGTGTATGCAACAATGATGATATAGAAATTTAGTAGAAAGATTAATCCATTCATACTCCAAAAAGAAACTATATTTTTATTATTTATGAGTTATACATTATAAAGTATATAATTTATAGTTTGTTGCTTATATTTATGCCTGAATCATCTCTAGAGCGACTAGCATATAATCTTATTACAGTGTATAAATGCAATCATTGTCAACAAATTCTTAGGTTGCCTCAGTAAAGTTATGGGTTAAAGATCCCTGGCTGGTATTGATACATACATATGCTGGTGTTGATATATACATATGCTGGGAATTAGTGGTCTATATCTATTATCAACACAATTCTGATATCCAGAATTCAGCAACTCTTACAAAATTATTTGTAAAAATTATTTCTATTGATTGAGTTTTACATCATTGTACCATGACACACCATGTTATGTCAACCAGTGATCATGAGTCCGCTTCCTTTTTCCTTGCCCAGGTTTAGCAGCTTTTGATTTTAAAATATGTTTCTAGTCCTCTTCCTTTTTCCTTGCCCAAGTTCAGCAGCTTTTGATTTTAAAATATGTTTCTAGTCATCTTCCTTTTTCCTTGCCTAAGTTCAGCAGCCTTTGATTTTAAAATATGTTTCTAGTCTGTCCTATTCTCTCCCTGTTAATACATCTAACTTCCTACTGGTTTCCATTTCAATCCAAACATACCTAAAATTACTCTTATCATTTCTTTCATGTTTTAACAACTCAGTGTCCTACTTCTAAAATTCTCTCTTCATTAATGTCAGAATAATGTGTGAGATGGTCACACAGAGACTTCTTAGCTAAAACCAGTGAGGTAACTGTTGTTGTAGGATATCATGGCTATTTCTTTTTCGGTTCACCAACATCATCCCCTTCTTTTGAGAGACTTCATATTTTTAAACTCTGATGTTTATGCCAAAGTCTTCATAGATTCTCTTCCTCAAGTTTAATCCATATTCGATGTATGCCCATGTTGCCATCAGAGAGTGCTATCAAAGTGAAATCGTGGTAATTTCCATCCTTTTATTTAAACTCTCTATAAAATATATCCCATTTTCTACAGAACAAAGACCAAGCTCCTTTCCATGCACAGAATTTTGCTCATGAGCTGGTGCATTTCAAACACTTTCACATCATTTGTTTCCCCTCCCAAATTTTTAAATTGTGCTTCTTCCGATATTCTGAACATGTTAGAGTTTCCTCAAAAGTCCATATTGATTTGTGCAGCCATACTTTCCAGATGGATCTTCCTATGTAGTATCTCTACTTTTTTTTCTTTCCTCCACAAGTTGATTGCCTGCTACATAAAGCGTCCCTGATTTTTGTCTGAACTCTCCTTCCCCACCTATCTTCCCAACTCCCTAGACATCTCAGTGCTGTATTGGAATTATCTATTCATTTCTATAGCACATCTGCAATCTAAGTTTTCATAATAACACTCAACATTTTGTATCATGCATATATAATTTCAAATATGTGTGACTGTGAGCTTCTTATCGTATTTCCAATGCCTAAAACAAAACCTGACACACAGAGGTTCACAATACGTGCCTAATTTAATTAAACAAATTTAGCAATCTACTGGCTATTATTATTACAATTTTCTAATAGGAATATCTGGTTAAACTTACTATGTCTAAAAGTTAGATACTTCTAAACAAAACAACCATTGCATGCATTTTCTCCTTACAATGTCAGTTCATCTGCTATCCAATTATCACCCTGTTCAGCTGCACACACCTGGAGTTAATTTGGTCTTGGATAACTGTGACAATTTTAAACTCTTTTCTGTGGCACATTACAAAAAATTGAGGAAATTACAGTCTGTTCTCAATACTTGGTATTTCATGGAGAGTTTCTGAAAAAGCTGACAATTTGGAGCCTATGATTCCCTGGTGAGAGTTCAACCATGATATCAGCAAACATTGTAAGAATTTTATGTTTCATGTGCACTGATCTTAAAAATAACATGTTAAAATGCAATATTACTACCAGTGTTCTCATTAAGCTCTGATGTTTCTCAAAGTGCAATCACTGGAAAATCTGATTCACAAGGATCTCCTGGTTAAAAATGTAGATTCCCACATCCTATGGAGACTTACTCAGGCTGTCATTAAGGAATCTGAAAGTCTGCTTTTTAAAACAACCACAATTATTCCAAGTAATTGTGATGCATATTAAATAACTTCTGCTTTAGAGAAAGTAGAGTGATAATAAAACATGACAGCTGTTGTGGAGAGATGGACAGCTCCTCCTTCTGCAGATGGACCCACCGGGAGATGGAATCCCCCTCTTGCCCCATCCTTGATGTTATTTAAACTCTCCAACTCTAAGCCTGTTCCATAGAAGGCACTTAATAATTAAGAGATGTCGTTATTGCTTTTTTATATGGTAAAGTCAATTCTAAGAAAAATTCACCTAGATTCCAAATAATACTTTCTTTATTGAGTTGCCAATTTTAAATAAAATATGATATTTTAATTCTATACATAATTTTTAACATATGTAACATGATATAAAGAATATGATATTGGGTAGATATAAATGATTCCATGTAACATTTTGTTGTTGCTGTTGGATAAATCAATATGGCTAATTTCAAAGAGGCAAAGATGTTTCATCCTGGCTACTCCAGTTAAAGAACAGTGACCTTGGTCACGCTGTATTCTTTCTCTAAGTGTTATTTTTGATATCTCTGAAATAATAATATACATGTGACAATATATAAATTACTACAATAAAAGAGTCTTTCTTTTATCCACCAAAAATTATTCTGGCTGGAATCATTTTAAGTATTTCTCCTCCCCTGATCTTTAATTTTCATTAACTAGAAAACCATTTCTTCTGTACTTGCGAAGCTTAATCAAACTAAAAGGGGAGTGAAAAGATTGAGAAAAAAAGAAAAAGAGCTGGACAGCCCTTTCAGAGATAGGCAAGGGTGTAATTTGAAAAGAGAGATGTTTCGGGGGAAGCACATAGATGATTTAAGAAAGAAAACAGTAAGATTTTAAAAACTATTACTTGCAGATTATGTATTTCCTTCATAATTTCCAAGAGCTGAAAGTAAACAATTAGAATATTTTAACATTTCTTTTATTACATGAAATATTTTCTTTTAACTGCAGTGACTCTCTGTGATTTAAACATGTGGGTCACAGTTTTACACACTTCATTTACCCCTTGGTTAAAATGTGATGAGGAAGAGAGGAAACAATGTGTGAAAGCCTTCAGCACTTTGTCCTGCACAAAGCCCAAGTTAAAAACAACGCTGTCTATTACATTTTATTTTTCTTTGATTTTTTTTCTCTCTTATAATCTTGTTTCAAGTATAGGCCTCCTACATTTTTCCCACAACATTAAAAGAATGGGAGTTTTGTTGCTGTTTTATTTTACAATTTATTGGTTTCACTTCAATGAGCATAACTGGCAACCTAAAACTATGTGTGATTATCTTCTCCTTTCAGCCAGTGTTTGTGAATATTTTCTCGGGAATCGTTCACCTATGACAGCCCACCCTGCCTCCCTCTAATCCCCTGTTCATGCTGCCACTTAAGCACTTGTGTAGAGGCACAGACCTGAAATTTAATTTTGACATTTCTTTGTGCACCTACACTGAGAGGTGTTGCTTATACTAGTCTATTTCACTCCTTTGCTTTCTACTGAGACAAGAAATGGACACATTTTACTCATTTTTTTTGATTTGCAAGATTTGTTTTTCCTTAATCAACAAATTGTATTAAAAACTTGTTTTGACAAATGGTATAGGCATTGGTTGTTTTCTGCATAACTTTTCCTGTAAAGCATTATGGAGTCTCTTCTTCAGGTAAAATAAACATTTATTACATTTATTAAATTTATCTTTAAGTTTCCTGGATCATGGTAATTGGTTTTTAAATTCTTTATCATGAAAGTAGGCCAAAAAATAAAAACAAATTAACAGCATCAATTCCAAGAGGATTTTCAGAGCAGAGTTCAAAATCTCTTAGGAATATATCATTGTATATTTTGGCATCTAATATTTATGTAACAAGAATATTTTGCACTTAAACTACATTTTAAAAGAGATGCTTAAAGAAAGTTTTATCTCTAATACACTTACTTATTGAATGATGATATATTTTTTTAAATTTAAGAATACTGAGGGTCTCTCGTTTTTTTTGTTTTTTTTTTTTAAATCATTCCAGATAAATGAAGAAGAATGCCTGAAGTACCACTCTGCATTTCTGATTTGTTAAAAATATTTGGCACGGTGCCTTATAAGTCTTGCTGCTCCAAAGCTCTTCACTTCCACTGAAACAGAAACTCCCTCAGCTTTTCTGTATCTGATAATTGAGTAATTGTGATGTCCTTCTTCAGGGACTGAATTAACATATGTCTCAAGTTATAACCCATTCAACTTCATCTCTTTAGCTCCTTGAAAGTGACATCATGAGGATGAATAATGTGTGTGACACTATGTGCCTTCCCAGAGCTTTCACCAACAGCCAGGTCTCATTTAAGAGCTTGCTTTACTCTCTGTTAACATGCTTTATGTGCCAGGAAGCATATTAAACACTGTCAAGTGTTATCCCGGCTATGCAGGTACAGCTTCTGTGTATCACGGTGGCTGCCATTCTGGCTTTCTATCCAGGGAGACTCAATTTTGGACTCTAGTTCACTGATTTCATAAGTGACCTGTAACTAATGGCCTGAAATTCCCCATGCTCCCATTTTCTTATCTTTATCAGGCAGAAGACAATAGTACTTCCCTCTAGGGGGTGCTGAGATAATTAAGAAAATAATACCTACATATTCTCCACATGGAAAGCAGAAAACACTCGATGATAGGTGTAATTATGACTAACGTTAGAGCTCGCCTCTTACATTTACTCTTACCCTACCTTTAACGGGTGTTTCCAAATGTAATCTAATTTTATCATTCATAAGCCTGTACCAAAGCCATATTTCCCTCTGCCTTAGTCTTCATATCTTTAACAGCTAAGTAATTGTTTAAAGTCACCAAGAATCATCTTCAATTATTATTGAAAATTATCTTTGATTATTTCCTGGTAGCTGAAGTCATTTCCAAGACAATTAGGATAATCAAGTTAGGCTAGAAGTTGAAGAACACGACTTGTTTTTTTTTAATTTTTATTATTTACTTGGTTGTGCTCATGTCCTATGATGATGTAGTTTTTACTCTCCTCCCTGGTCAAGGGCATTTTTTAGTGCTTTACTTCTCTGTATTTGATTTTTAAGCTATAATATAGAGCGTCTGCTAAACACTAGAAATCCTACTCTTTCAAGAAACTTTTTTAGAAACACCATATTCACTTCATCATCACCTCCTCTTAACTTCTTCACCTACTCATATTCTATAAAAGTTATAGGTATTTTCTAGAGCTAGAGGAACCAGTGAGCTTATTGCTCCATTATTTCTCACATTCATATATATAGATATCTGGTAGAGATTTGAGTTTTATATTTTTGAAACTAGAAAACTTTTAACTGGACACCTCTCATTTAGTTTCGGCCTTCTAAGAAGACTAGAATCTACCTTTGGGTCAGGCTTTTTCTTAGTTCTTAAAAGAACTAATAGAATGGCCTACTTTAGATATGCAGATATATGGTAAAGAAACTTCCCACTGAGAAGAGGGCAAAATTTTATAAATGACCATTTTGGCAAAGATCTGCCCATGTCTTAGCTTATATTGACTGTTAAAATTAGATTTTACCTTTCTTTTATCTATCTCATCTAAAAGTTTGTAAAAGAGCAGAATAATTTTATGGCAGTAATATGGAGTCTATTGATGTGATTACCTGTGCTGAATGTATGTACAGTCTCTGATTGAGGCCAAAAGGTCAGAGGTTAACTGGATCTCTGAAAACAAAAGTCACCATAATGATTGGGAAAATCGTATGTTAAAGCCAAGAATAGGCTACAGGACAGTGATACTGTTTTAGACTTAGAATGCAGTTAATTCCACAATGGGCATATCCTGGGCAAAATAGCTGCATGCAGGTGTGTGATTTAATAGAATTATAACAACGTAGTCATAACCTTTAAGGCCCAGGCTGTATAATTTGTCATCCAATTTGACATCCAATGTCACCCACTTTAAAAATACAAATGGATGCTGTTAATAATTTTACCCTAATATCAGGTGTGTAATCTGATATTCAACTGGATTATTGCTGAGAAGAAAGCATCTTCCTTTGCATCAGGAGGAGCAGCTCTAGCCTTGGAAAATTAGTAGAGTCCTATGCTGTAGATCAGTTGGTCCTTGCACAATAAAGAGTGGGTTGTTGCAGTCAGCACTTCACTCTCTGCAGAGGCAGCTGCAAAGAAGACTTTTTCATGACAGCTGCAAGCCACCTGAGAAAGAACCAGCCATTCTGCTCACCTGGCATACAGGGACTTGTTTCCTAATGATTTCAAAATAGCAAGTAAGAGTGACCTGATTTTGTAAATCTATACAATTGAAGCCTAGGACTTAATGGGAGTATGTTGAAACCTGCATTTTCATTCCTGACAACATTCTACTCTTCTAAGCTCATATTTTACTTTTGTCCTAAAAGTCTCACAATTCTTGCTCTTTTCCATTTCTCTAAATCTTATTTGTTCTTCTGAACTCTCCCCTAGGAAGCTTACTGTATTGAGAACAAATTTTTTTTCTGTAAGTAATTATTTTACTTAATTGAATTGGATTATTCCCATGCTCAGTTATCTAATTATTAACTTAATAGCTGCTCATGAGCATTACTTGATCAAAAAAATTCACTTAATATTCATTCATTCATTAATCAAGATAATACATGTATTAATAAATAAAATCATAAAAATAAAAACATAATCTTTAAAATATGAATATGACTACACTTCAAAACTTACCAAATAATAAAAATTAAGTAACAATATCTTAAATATATTGAATGCCCCATATAATAACTAAAGGTTGGTATTTAATCCTATCAGTGGAGGCAAAACTAAAAAGTCCTTGACAAATTTTTAGTTAGTGCATGTTTGCACATATTGATAAAAATACATAGTCATAAATAATACTTTTCAATTTGAATTTAAACATTGATGTTCTAAAATATAAAGTCTTTTTTGCATTTCTTCTTTGAAATACAGAATTTTAAAAGTTTACTATATATTTGCAAAATTTTTTAGTACATTTTTTATTGTAATGAACATAAATAAGGCAGATGTTATATAAAATGAGTAAATGTTTAAACCAACCAAGGAAAAGCAAATAGGGTCTTTTAATGGGTTTAAAATTTTTCTCCATTATGTATAATCACATTTATTTAATCTTAATTGTGCTACAAGTCTCTATGGTCCTGATTTGTTTGTTAACATAAAGTATATATTTGGTTTTGACCTGAATTCCCTAATATATTGTTAACTCTGAATAAATGTTTTCCATCTGTGCTTTCTAATAGAAATCATTGTAATCTATACAAAGTGAGCTTAATGAATTCTAGTAATTTTTCCACTTAATGACTATGTATCTACAATTATATTCTACTATTGTTCCAAACACATGGATACATTTTGATAAGAGAAGGAGAGCTTGGAACATGAGCATACTTGTGCTAGGAGATTCTTGGTCAACTAAGAAATAATCGTGGAAATGAGAATCTATGTCTTCGTTGAACATAGATAGATTCTTCCTATATGATTCTTTTGTTCAAAGGAATGAAACGTGCAGTCTGGTAAATCTAGAGATCTTTCTGTGAAGCGCAAATCCCTAGATGCCATTCAGAAATACTGCAATTTCTAAACTGGGCAAAAAATTATGGATTGAAGGTAGTACAGCAACGTTAATGACACTTGGCTGAGAATCTACATATATTATCCCACATGTGGATTCAGTAATCCCCATGATAACCTTATGGTTTCCTACTTTACAGATGTTTTGTGTTTTTCCTACTTTACAGATGAGGATATTGAGGCAGTGAGTTTATTCCAAGCCGGAAAAGAGCCGACAATTCTTCCATTGCACCTGCTGTTATTTTTTTTTAGAGGACCCATTTCTGACAACCAACATCTCCCCTAAGAACTTTGAATCTTTCAGACACAAGATGGAGTGAGCAGTTCTGCATGTTCACAAATGAAAACACCAAGTCTGTGATCCTGTTGTGTCACTTGTAATTGTCTTAATAAGGCTCAGCATTTTCTTTTTCTGAGTAGTAAGGACCAAGTAGTAAGCATTTTAGGTGTTATGAGTCTTACAGCTTCTGTCATAACTACTCAACTTCACCATTGTAGTGTGAAAGTAGCCATAGACAATATTGAAACAAATAAGCATGTCTGTGTTTCAATAAAACTTTATTTACAAAAAGAGGCAGCAGGCTGAACTTAGTCTAAAAGCCATAGTTTGCCAATCACTTATCTAAAGTTGTATTTGAAAGGCTCCTGAAAACATTTATATTTTCCTTTATTGCCCAAAATATTTACCTGGAATTCCCTGATCCTGAAATAAAGGACAGCATGAGCAGGAACAGCCATTAAGCAGCGAAGCAAATTAAAGGATGCTCAGCACTTGTCAATTGTGAGGAAAAAAAAAATATGTGTGACTTAGATTCTTTATCCAAACTCAATATCAGAATCTCTCTTCCCTCCCGGGGGTGAGGGATGGGGGAAAGGAACAGACTCGCGGAAGGGAGTGAACTCTGTGGAGCCTGTCTATTCAGGTACAGGGAAACTGGGGACATAGATTTCTCAAAAATACCTGGAGAGTAAAATGGCTTTCCTCTATCCTCTCCTCCTCTCTATTACTTCCACTTAAACCACGAGAATGGACATTTGCTACTTGAAAACCCACGAAAGTCAGATATTTATAATCACTCAATTACATGGAAACTCATAGAGTGTTTGCATAGTTTTCATGGAGCGATGATGAAGATCTATTTGCTTACAGGCAGTGGAGCAGCTAAATATGTCACTGGCATCTCTGTGTTCTCCAGAGAACCAAAGGGTACGTGAGGATTCACAATGAAAGTCGCTCAAAAGGTTTTAATCAAAGGGAAAAATTACTGAGAGAGTTGTTTCAACCATTTCTTATTATCTGGTTTATTTTCAAAGTTTAGTTTTCCTTGTATTCTATCTATCTATCTATCTATCTATCTATCTATCTATCTATCTATCATCTATCTTTTATTTATTTATTTATTTATTTGATGGAGTCTTGCTCTGTCGCCCAGGCTGGAGTGCAGTGGTACAATCTCGGCTCACTGCAACTTCTGCCTACCAGGTTCAAGCAATTCTCCTGCTTCAGCCTCCCGAGTAGCTGGGATTACAGGCACACGCCTCCATGCCCAGGTAATTTTTTGTATTTTAGTAGAGACGGGGCTTCACCGCGTTGCCCAGGCTGGTCTCAAACTCTTAAGCTCAGACAATCTGTCTGCCTCGGCCTCCCAAAGTGCTGGGATTACAGGCATGAGCCACTGCACCCAGCCTTCTATTTATTTTTAAAGCTATACCACTGGTTCTTCAGGCATGGCTTCATAAGGTACTATTTGACATGTATTTATAAAAGTACAAATGTATTTGTCCCCAGCAGTAATTCCTTGACATTTAAAAATATATTGAAAATTTTTTGGAAATCTTTAATGATACTGCTTTTAGAGGGATCTAGTGTATTTTTGTATATAGATTACCGCGGGTTTTTTTTTAATCTGTTAAAATGGCCCCTATTATTTCCTAAATTTCCCTTTCTTTCAGTCTCTTAAGCACCTTTTTAATGTACAAAGAAGGAAGAGAGGAAGGAAAGGAGAAAAAAAGAAAGAAAGAAGAAAGAAAGAAGAAAGAAAAAGAAAGAAAGAAAGAGAAAGAAAGAAAAAAAGGAAGGAAAGTGGAAGGAAGGAAGGAAGGGAGGGAGGGAGGGAGGAAAAGGGAGGAAGGAAGGAAGGAAAATAAACAAAAAAAAGGTTGACTGATTGTATCTAACATATCATCTTTGATCTCACTTTTATTTTTGACTGTAGTTTTAAAGCCAGGGTTTTAGATGGGTTCAGAAACTCTTATTCCTTAAATAAAAGAATGCCTCTTCAATTATTTTATATATGTTAAATTATTCCTAGTTCCCATGTGCTTCTTTTATGATACTACACGAGTACAGCTGTAGACATAAGAAAAACATTCAGTTTTTTTTATTTGTAGACAGCTATGAAGCTAAGGAAGAATTTTTAGGAATTATCTCTGATCATGATCAGGTAGTGAATAAGAAAGATAGGTTTAAATATTTTCCTAGTTGCTCAAAAGGTTTTAATCAAAGGGAAAAATTACTGGGAGAGTTGTGTTTTCAACCACTTCGTATTGTCTGGTTTATTTTCAAAGTTCAGTTTTCCTTGTACTCTATCTATCTATCTATCTATCTATCTATCTATCTATCTATCATCTATCTATCTATCATCTATCCATCTATCGTCTATCTATCATCTATCTATCTATCTATCTATCTATCTATCTATCTATCTATCTATCTATCTATCTATGTATCTACTTTTAAAGCTATACCACTGGTTCTTCAGGCATAGCTTTAAAAGGTACTATTTGAAATGTATTTGTGAAAGTAAGCTGACTTAGTCAACACAACACAACACAAGAAAATTCCATTGCTCCAATACTACCAATTCTTGCCTGAACTTATAAGTCTACACAGCAGAGAACTGTTTTTATGGCCTTTAGTATATCATTGGAAAATATCATTGCACAATTTTAATGCTCAACACTTTGTAAACAACATTTTTAATTATCTCATATTATTTATGATAGATGGCTGAAAATATCATAAATTCATGTGAATATTTCCAAACCGCCTCATGTTATTTCAAAATTCAATAGCCCTGAATACTTGGTTAAGTTTAAAAAAATAATTCTGTATAAACTTTCCACTCCTTATTACTGTAAATTACTCTTGATGATAGTAAAAGTAATTCTTACATTTTAATGAAAGAATGAGGTTTTCAGTACAATTTTAGAGAGGTTTATGCCAAACAATTATTATTATCCAGTGGCTGAGAGACAACTTATCTTCTATTATTTAGGTAAGAAAATATGTATGTATACTAGAGAGGTTATATTTATCAAGAAGGTAATTTGTAGAAACCAACATCACTAAGAGCCAGGAATGGACTTGGGACATTTATTCATATAATTAGTGTCAACAAGATTCAGAATGAAAAAGGATGTGAGCTCTAGGAGCATATGATTTTGTGTTTACTGCAAACAAAAAAGAAGAACAAAGAATGAGTTCATGTCCTTTGCAGGGACATGGATGAAGCTGGACACCATCATCCTCAGCAAACTAACACAGGAGCAGAAAAGCAAATACCACATGTTCTCACTCATAAGTGGGAGATTAACAATAAGAACACATGGGCACAGGGAGGGGAACATCACACACTGGGGCCTGTTGGGGGTTGGGGGGCAAGGGGAGGGAGAGCATTAGGACAAATACCTAATGCATGCGGGACTTAAAACCTAGATGATGGATTGAGAGGTGCAGCAAACCACCATGGCACATGTATACCTATGTAACAAACCTACACGTTCAGCACATGTATCCCAGAACTTCAAGTAAAATAAATAAATTAATTAAATAAAAACAATGAGAGAAAGGCAAGGAACTGTATTGACTAAGCAATTCAGTAAGCTGGCAAAGGAAGATATTTAAATGATTTCTGACATTACTAAGTCACAGCACTATGTGGTGATGCTTCAGCAAGTCAACACAGTATACAAGATTGGAACTCAATTCACCACAGGTCCCTCAGGTTACTGAGGGTTTTGTATAGAAAGCCCTGCAGGTTCTTTTTTTGAGACATATTTTTAATGATGTTTATATAGCAAACAACATTGAAAAATTAAGACTGTATCTTTTTCCAAAGCAAAGGGCCACATGCTTCTACCCAGTAAAATAGAGAAAATGTCACGCTCCGAAACAAAGGAGAAGAGTTGCCAGAGCTCCTCTCCTATCATGTAACCCACTACATGTACTGGAATCCATTAGGCCTATCTATCTGCTTTGCCCCTATGTTACTTGAAGGCAATGGGAACTGAGTCCATTCTGTTAAGCACATTGTGCTATAGTAAAAAAAATTCCTTTCTCTGACCCAAACATCTCATGTCTTCTTTCAGCATTCATGAAATTGTGGAAGACAAATAGTTCTTGACATTGACATAAAACAACAAAATGCAACAGCACTCTTTAATAATGAGTATAAGTATGTACTAAAGGTCTCCTCTAAGGTGGTTACACTGATATATGTTATGTAGGAAATTTTCTTATGAAATTTCTGTGGGAAATTCCACAGGTAGAAATAATATGCTTCCTTAATAGTAATTTCATATATTATACAGTGTATTGATTAAATGTCAGGGGCAATAAATTAGGTCTTGCCTCGTGAACAATGAAACATATATAGTTAGTACCTTCTGTAACAGTGGTTTTACTTTTTTCAGAGTCAGGAAAGAGGAATGTTTCTCTCATATATGAGCTACGTTTAAATTTTACCAAAAGAATTCATTCGTATTCAAATATAGGTTTGAATGGTATAACCATGGCATATAGTCATGAATTCAAAGTTGTCAGAAGATGAGAATATTAAATTTGAAATCCTTATCATTCTGCTCACTCTTGTGCACTCTATTTTTCTGTGTTATCTGTGGCCTTTCTCAGGATTCTTCTGAAACCATCCCACTGGGGTTCATTTCTTATCACCTGGTATAATATACAAATTGTAGAATTTCAACAATATTAGCCCACAGAGAGTACTGTCTTCCAAGAAATCCAACTAATATTCTAGAGAAAAGATTTCTGACACATGCATGCACATATAAACACAGACACACATACACTTATTAATTGTACTGTGTGGTTGGTGAAAAATGCACTTAAGATATTTCTGGTGCCAATATAACTTGTACTATGTGACACTCTACATTCTTAGTCATATGGATTGACATGTGCATAAGTGCTTTCACGTGGCTAATGATTATGAGATCTAGAATTAGAATCAAAGCTTATCCTCACTTTAAAGTAACTATAGTCAGGCAGACATCCATAAATAAGAAAGAGATGTGGTTAAAAGAAAAGGAAGGATTGAAAGATAAGTAGGCATAGGTTAGAACAGCAGGAGGAGAGAAGAAAGAAGGAAGAAAAAAGAAAATAAACACAGTGCTCAAATCTTAGTGTTCTTCGTTACTTTTGAAATACTGGTTTTAGGTATTCATATATTGATTTAAAGATAGTTGAACTTCATTCAAGGTCCCGCCAATTCAATTAAAGTAAACACATTGAACCTTTATGGCACAGCTATTATGAAATAACTAGCATATTATGAAACAGCTAGATGCAATAAATAAATTGTAAAGGAGAGAGAACTAGCATACAATGGACATGGACTATTTGCCAGGAACATTAGTATATTGTGTCATTTCTTTGCTCAAATTCAATTTTTAAGCCATTTTCCTCTTAAATGTATTGCTGTCTAATCATATTCAAAAATGACTATTTCAAAGATAGCCTCATGTACTGAGAGGCTAAAAATTCAGGGATATGTTTAAGAATCAAGCTATGCACTTAGACAATAGGCTTACCTAAAAACGCTTTTAAAAAGATCTGGAATTGTTCCTTCCACTGTTTTGCCACAGAAAAAGCAGAGAGCTAAAGATGATTTGTTGAGCAGCAAGGTCAACCTATTTGGCAGCAGAATGGATCAGAAACAAAGCTTTGATTTAGGACACTTGAATACACTGCAAAGGTTCTCAGATATGTAAGTGATGCAGGAGTCAAGAGGAGTTTGCATGAGGTTCGAAATAATCAAGCAGTATCAAGGTGGCTTTTTCTTTGCATTTTTAAAATAAGAGTGTTCCCATTTCTATCAACTCAGAAGGAGACTAACACATTAGACAGAACTTGAGACATACTTCTATGAAGACTGAGTTGGTATTATGAGCCTTGAATCACAAATGAACAGGAATCACTCTGATATTGAAAGCTCACACTTTCAAAGTAAACTGCATGATGAAAACTCCATTATGAGTTTCTCAAAAAGCTACACAACTCAATAACCAAATAAAGGAATGAACAATTGAACATATAAATACATGTTGAGCCATGAAAACTATATTTTAAATATGTTAGTATATTTTGGTGATACAATTTGCATTTTTGTTGGATCCAAATGGTCATCCTAAAATTAAGTATGAATTGAGAAGAAATTCCAAATACACAAATGATTTCTGCAATGAAAGTGTAACTATCGTGCTACTTCTATTTTTGTCTTTCTTATTTTTTTCTAATACAAAACAACATTATACATATAATTTTAAAAAACTGAAATTTTATTGCCACTGCCTTGACCTCATATATGTATTTATAAAAGCATATGTTCTTATTGGTAGGTCTTTCTGGACATTAGTGTTTGTAGTTTCATCCTGGTTTCTCCTGGATTTTTCATTTGTAAGCACCCTTCTCTCTTCCATCACACAGACCCTATAAATACACAATAATGAATCAATTTGATCATCTATCCCTTTTTATCCTTTCCTTGGGTTTCTTGCTGGTGAGAAAAATTGCACATTGCTGATTGGTTCTACCCCTTTAATATCTTTTAAAACATTACTTCCTTTGAGTCTTAATAGTAAACCAGTACTTCTTTCTTTTAACAGACTAACTGATTACCTTCTCTTTTACATCTTACTGGGCCTAGTATTCCTGTTAGAGTTAATTTTATGTGTCAGTTTTGCTGGTCCAGGGTACTAGATATTTGGTCAAATATTAATCTAGATGATTCTGTGAAGGTGTTTTTTTTTAATGAGATTAACATTTAAATTGGCGGACTTTGAGTAAAACAGATTAGATGGGCTTCATTCAATTAGTTGGAAACCCTAATAAAACAGACATACTTCTTCCAAGCAAGAAGGTATTCTGCCAGCGTACTGCCTTTGGGGTTTGGAACTCTCTCTGAGTTTCCAGCCTGATGGCTTACACTGCAGATCGGACATGCTCCTTCACGATTACATGAGTCAGTTTCTTAAAATCTCTCTCATATATCAGAAACTGACTCATGCAATTATGGAGATACACACACACACACACACACACACACACACACAAACACACACACACACACAGTTGACCATTGAGCAACACAAGTTTGAAGTTCAGGGGTCCACTTATATGTGGAAATGTTCAATAAATACAGTCATCCTTCTGTATTGGTGGGTGATACATCTGCAACCAAATGTGGATCAGAAATATACTGTTCATGGTACGTGAAACACACATATCTGGAAGATTGACTTTTTGTACCTGTAGGTTCCACAGGGCCCACTGCATGACTTGCGAATGCATGGATTGTGGTATCTCTGGGGATACTAGAACCAATTCCCTGTGGATACTGAGGGAGGACTATGTATCTATGTCTCTTTAGATATGGATAAATACACACATATTCTGTTTTTCTGGAGTATTTTGACTAATGTAAATTTGGTAGCAAGAGTGGTTCTAGAGGAACAGAATCTTAAGAATAAGTTTTCTTTACTGGTTTTGGGATTTCTGGAAGTGGCTCTTTAATATGACTAGCTTTAAATACACTATTGACTCTCTTTCCAGTAGTAAAGACAGCACCAATAGTCCTTGGTGTGACGGGGCAACAGAGATATGTAGAATATCACTACTGGATTCTCCTAACCAAAGTCTTGCAAGAGCGAAGCATCTGAAGCTCATAACATAATATTTTTGAACATTTTTGTCAAACTAATGATGATAAATAATCATTTAATGTATAAAATGGGCTGGCTGCCTCTAACATTACTGAAAAAAGTGAAGAAACAAAAGGATGAGCTCAGGGATTTGAATTCCCAGCTCAAGTACCACGTAAGTCACCTGTCAGTTTCTCTGTCTGCCCTGAAAAAGACCCTTATGTCTTGTATTGACAGACGTGAGATTGTTGGGAAAAAACCCTAGACTTTCATCTTGTGAGTGGCTGAAATACAAGAAAAATTGAGTTCCTAGCCTATGTGTCTGCTGTTAAAGTGAGCAAAGTAATTGTAAAGAAATGGCACTTGGAAAGCTGGAATGAGCATGTTTGGGAAGACCTTGATGAAGCTGGAGACACTAAGCTCATAATTTCTGATAAGTCTTCTTAACTCCATCTTGGGAGATTAACCCTGCATTGCCCAGGGAAACTATAATGGCCTCGCCTGATGCTGTTACCTTGCAAGACTGCTGAGTCTTCCCAGGACCCACCTCACTGCTCTCTTTGATTCTAGTTGTGTAACTAGACCCAAGTCTTTGCATGGCCCTGAAGTTGAGGTGCAAGTGTGACCCATGAGGTGATGCATTAAATACCAAAAGAACTACTTGAGTTTTCTAATTTACCCAGACAGAAATCTGGGGAGTACATGTGGGAATAGATATATAGGGTATGAAATAATGGCAGAAGAAACACAAAGTTAGATTGGCGGAATTTATTGGTAGGGCTCAATAAGCAGAGACTCTGCATTTAATATTGCAGCACGGGGAGTGAGAAATAACTTGTGTTTTGTTTGTTTGGCTGAAACATGGAGCCAAAGTTTGCCCACAGTAAATGAATGTGAAATGTCACAACTTTGGTCACTAACAATGGAAGACAAAACTCAAAGGCCTAGGGACATTGGTAACGCTAGAATGGGTTTCTTATTTAATATCTATTTATCCACACTGGGAGGGTCTAGAGGACACACCTTTCACCACCACAGACAGAAATCAGTTAGTGAGGAGAGCCCCAGCATCCCAGTGATCACTCAGCTCTCTAGGTCAGAACTTACAGTAGGAATTGTTGCTGCTGAATTGGGAAATGTAAATGCAATAGGAATCACTGGATCCTGGGTGACAGGGGCCTTGTTGTAGCGATCAATGGCCAAAGTAAGGTTGGCATGTTTACCAATAAACCATAGTCAAAAGAGCAATCAGAATGCTATGACTTGTGGAGACTTCTGGTATTGGCTAGGGGGTCATCCTGTTCCTAGGAATGAAATAGGTAGGAAGCCTATTAAATTATTATTTGATCTGTACAAACAGAAAGGTTCTAGGTCAGGTACACAAAGTCTAACCTGAATCATAAAAACAGAGAGTCCTTGCCCCTCAATCAGTTTCCAGACTTGCACCAGTTTATAGACCCAAAATCCCTTGAATGAAGGTAAGGCTGAGATCTCTTGGGGAAGGATTCCAATATGCTTATAAAATTTATACTATTAATGTTTCTAATTTTTTTTAATTTTTTATTTCCATAGGTTTTTGGGGGAACAGGTGGTAGTTGGTGATATGAGTAAGTTCTTTAGCGGTGATTTGTGAGATTTTGGTGCACTCATTACCCCAGCACTATACACTGAACCCAATTTTTAGTCTTTTATTCCTTACCCCCTTCCCATCTTTTCCTCTATCCCCAAAGGGACCTATCACTTTTTATCAGGGTGACTGTACTTTGGGGAAAAGAAAATATTCAGACCTTTGGGGGACTACTGGACATTAGCTCTGAACTAACATAAATTCTGAGACCCAAATTGTCACTGGGCCTGCCAGTTAGCATAAAGACTTGTGGAGGTCAGCGGACCAATGAAGTTCAGCTTGGGTCCATCTCAGTGGAGCCAGTGGCTCCTCAACCCATTCTGTGATTACTTCCAAAGTTCTAGAATGTAATTTGTATACTCAGCAGCTGGAAGATTCCCCACACTGGTTCCCTGACGTGGAAGTGAGGACTGTAATTGAGGGAAAGTCCAAGGGGATACCACTAGAACTCCCTCTAGACAGAACAATAATAAAGCCAAGCAACATGACATTCTTGGAGAAACTGCTGAGATTAGTGCCATCACCAAAGATGAAATATGCAGGGTGTTGATTCCCAACTCATCCTTATTCTACTCTCCTATTTGGTCTGTAACTAACACAGATGGATCTTGGGCATGACAGTGGATTATCATAAGCTTAGTCAGGTGGTGACTCCAACTGCAACTGTTTTGCCAGATGTGGCTTCATTGCTTGAGAGAATCAGCACATCCCCTGGTACCTGGTATGAAGCTTTTGATAATAGCACATAAATTTTCTCCATTAATGTTGGTAAAGACCACCATTAGCAGTTTGCTTCTGGCTGGCAAGATCAGCAATACAACTTCATTGCTCTACCTCAGGGGTATATTAACTCTTTAGTCCTATGCCATAATTCATTTCACAGGGATCTTGATTACCTTTTCTTTTACAAGACATCACACAGGTCCATTACATGGAAACATGCTGCTTGGATCTATTGAGCAGGAAGCAGCAACTACTCTATATGTACTTGGTAAAACATTTATTTACAAAGGGTATGGGATATAAATCTGACAAAAATGTATTGCCATCTACCTCGTTGAAATTTGTGGGAGCCTAGTACTACCGGACATATTGAGATATCCCCGAAAAGGTGAAGCATAAGTTGTTGCATGTGGTCCCTCCTACAACCTCAGAAAAGAGACACAACACTTAGTAGATCCTTTGGGATTTTGGAGGTAAAGTAATTTGCATTTAGGTACATTACTCTGGCCCATTGACTGAGTGATGTGAAATGCTGCTAGTTTTGAGTGGGGGACAGAATGAAAAGAAGGCTCTGAGATAGATGCAGTCTGCTACGTAGACTGTTCTGCTGTTTAGGCTATACGATCCAGCAGGTCCAGTGGGGGGCAGTAATAGTAGTGTCAGTAATAGATAGGGATGCTGTGTGGCATCTTTGGTTGGTCTCATTTGATGAATTACAGCACAGGCCCTTAGGATTTGGGGACAAAGCCTTGCCTCCTCTGTGGATGTCTTCATAAGATATGAAGTATCCTTCAAAAGATACTCTCCTTTTTAGAAACAATGGAGCCTGACCAACATGGAGAAAGCCCATTTCTACTAAAAATACAAAATTAGCCCAGTGTGGTGGTGTGTGCCTGTAGTCCCAGCTACTCAGGAGGCTGAGGCAGAAGAATCGCTTGAACCCGGGAGGCAGAGGTTGCAGTGAGCAGAGATCGCACCACTGCACTCCAGCCTGGGTGACAGAGTGAGACTCTGTCTCAAAATAAATAAATAAATACATAGAAAAAGAAAAAAGAAACAGCAAAAACCTGCTACCAGACCTTAGTGAGAACTGAACACTTAATCATGGCACACCAACTTCCTATGTGATCTGAGCTGCTTATCATGAACCATGTGCTACTTGACCCAGCAAGCCATAAAGTTAGGTGAGCACAGCACTACCCCATCATCAAATGAAAGTGGCATATACAAGATGAGGCCTCAGCAGGCCCTTGATGCACAAGTAACTGACATGAAGAAGAGACCCAAATGCCCCCATTCCTGCCACACTCTCTTCTCTTTCCAAGCCTGTACCTATGGCCTCATCACGTGCTCCCTATCAGCTGAGAGAGAAAGAGAAGCCTTGAGCCTGTTTCACAGGTGGTTCTTCATGATAAGCAAGCACCATCTGAAATTGACAGCTGCAGTATTATAGGCTCTCTGGGACATTCCTGAAAGACAGCAGTGACTGCAAACCCTCTCAGTGGACAGAACTTTTAGCAGTGCACCTGGTTTTTCATTTTGCATAGAATTAGAAATGGGCAGACATGACATTATATATCAATTCATGGGCTGTGGCCAAGGAGTTGGCTGAATGGTCAGGGACTTGGAAGGGACATGATTGGAACATTAATGACAAAGAGTTCTGGGGAAGAGATAAGGTATAGGGATGGAGCCCTCAGAATGTGCCAAAAAATGTGAAGATATTTGTGTCCTATGGGAATGTTTACAAAAAGGTAACATCAGCAGAGGAAGATATTAATAATCAAGTGGATAGGACAACCCATTCTGTGGATACCTGTCAGCCTCTTCCAGCAGCCACTCCTGTCATCATTCAACGTGCTCATAAATAAAGGGGCCATGTTGGCATGAGACCAACAACACACAGACTTCCACTCACCAAAGCTGACCTGGCTATAGCCACTGCTGAAGACCTAACATTTCAGCAGTAGAGACCAACAGTAAATCCCCAATATGGCACCATTCCCCAAGGAAATTAACCAGCAACCTGGTGACAGGTTGATTACACTTGATCACTTTCATCATGGAAGGAGCAGCATTTTGTTCTTACTGGAACAAACACTCTGGATGCAGATTTTCCTTCCAAGCATATAATGCTTCTGCCAAACTACCATCTGTGACCTATAGAATGCCTTATCTACCATCCTGATCTTCCACACAGCACTGCTTCTGATCATGACACTCACTTCACAGCAAATCAAGTACAGTAATGAACCCATGCTCATGGAATTCATTGGTTTTGCCATGTTTCCCACCAGTCCAAAGCAGCTAGCTTGAAGGGAGGGTGAAATAGCCTTGTGAAGCCTCAGTTACAGTGCTAGATAGGTGCCAATCCCTTGCAGGGCTGGGGCAAGGGGGTCTCTAGGAGACTAAAAATGCTCTGAATCAGCATCCAATATATGGCACTATTTCTTCCACAGCCAGGAATAAATCTCAAGCCAGAAGTGACTGGTCTGCAATTATGAGGTAGAAATGAGTGTGATACCACTATTACTCCTGGTGACATATTAGCAAAAATTTTGCTTCTTGACCCTATGGTGTTATGCTATGCAGGTCTAGAGGTCTTAGTTCCAGAAGGAGGCATGTTTCCACCAGGACACAAAACAATAGTTCCATTTAACTGGAAGTTGAGACTGCCACCCAGCCTCTCTGAGTTCCTCATTCCCCTAAATCAACAGGTAAGGAAGGAAATTACTGTGCTGTCTGGGGTGATTCATCTTGAGTGCCAATGGGAAATTGGATTGACACCCCACAATGGATGCAAGGAAGAGTGTGTCTGTAATATTGGAGATTCCTTAGGGCACCCCTTATATTACCTTGCCCTGTGATTAAAGTCAATGGAAAACTACAACAAACCAATCTAGGCAGAACTAGTAACGGTCTAGATCAGACCCTTCAGAAATTAAGGTTTTGTCTCCCCACAAGGTAAAGAGCCACTACCAGCTGAGTTGCTTGCTGACAGCAAAGGTAATACAAAATCAGTAATGGAAAAAGGCAGTTATAAATACAAGCTATGATACATGACCAGTGATGGAAATGAGGGCTATAATCATTACAAGTACTTCTTCCTTATTTTATTTTAAATATGATATATTTAATATCTTTTTTCTTCCCTCTCCTATCCCCTTATCATGGAACACAAAATGTATTGACTTGATATCATGGTATTTAAAAATCGTTAATTTTACACCAAGTTGCGGGACATCAAGATGAGTAAACCCAAGGACTTTACATTCTTTTCTGAGAAAAAAGGTTTGTGTATTTTCATTGCATGCAAGACAGTTATATTCTGCTAGAAGTATGACCTTGTTATTATCTCTATTTGGTGATTAAACATGGTTTAAGGGGAAGTGGACGGGTGCCAAGTTGACAAAGGGTGGACTTACAATGGTGTGATATTTGATCAATCATGATCATGGGTGTTTCTGTGTTCTTTGGATAAGACTAATATTTAAATTTGTGAACTTTGAGTAAAATAGATTAGCCTCTATTATGTGGGTGGGACACACCTAATCAGCTGAAGATCTTAACAAAACAAAGACTGATGTCACTTGAGCAAGAAGGAGTTCTTCCAGCAGACTGCCTTCAGGCTCAGAATGGCACTCTTCCCCAGGTCATCCGATTAGAGGCCCCACTGCAGATTTTGAACTTGTACCTACACAACTGCATGAACCAATTTCTTAAAAATAATTTTTTGTTCCATATGAATTTTAGCACAGATTTTTTCACATTCTGTGAAGAATGTCAATGGTAGTTTGATGAGAATAGAATTGAATTTTTAAATTACACTGGGCAGCCATAAAAAGAAACAAGATCATGTCCTTTGCAGGGACGTGGAAGGACGTGGATGCCTTTATCCTCAGCAAACTAACACATGAACAGACAACCAAACGCTACATGTTCTCATTTATAATAGGGAGCTGAACAATGAGAATACATGGACAAGGGAGGGGAGCAACACACACTGCAGCCTGTCAGGGGTGGATGGGGAGGGAGAGCATCAGGATAAATAGCTAATGCATGCAGGCCTTAATACCTAGGTGATGGATTGATAGGTGCAGCAAACCACCATGGCACATGTTTACCTATGTTAACAAACATGCAGGTCCTGCACATGTATCCTGGCATTTAAAATTAAATTAAATTTAAAAATAATAATAAAATTGTTTGCATAAAATTAAAAATAAATAAATAATATTTTCTTTTTTTCTATTTATATACATGTCTTGTTTGTTCTGTTTCTCTGGAGAATCCTAACTAGAATAATATCTGTAGGATTAAACTGAGAATATCAACAGGGCATTCCTCAGTCTCCTTCATTTATGCTTTTGAAATATCATCTCTGAGCTGTACACATCTCTTTTTTCTTTCTTTATGCTTTAGACAAAACCATTAAAACTATTTTGACAAAAGTCACCTCTGGATCACTAGTTACCAAAACCAATGGAACATTTTAAGTCATTACTTAATTTGGCCTGTGGAGTTCAACATTTGTTGTCATTCCTTATTCTTAAAACTTTTTCCTGGTTTATCTTCCATGACACTAATGCTTGCCTTTTGCCTCTTACTAATTAGATCTATCTAATTTTTTTCATCTGCTTTGAAATGAAAAATCAGGGTTCTCTTAAATTATCTGTAATTTTCCCTAGAGTATATTAACCACTTATGGTTTTAACTACCATCTGTATTCCAATTACTCTCTTTGAACACTAGATTAATGTATGTAAATATCTATGATATACTTCACCTGTGTACTTGTAAGTAACTAAGGGCATAGGATGTTCAACACCAATTATTTCATTTCTTACTTGAGTCCCAAATCTACAAGGGATACTAATAAAACAGAAGTCAGAAATCTGTGTCATTTTTTATTCTTCCCTTTCTTTGATTCTCTGTATGCAATTACCCACTAATTTCTGCAGATTTTGCCTTCACAATATTTCTCTAATTTGTCTCATCCTTTACATTGCCATGATCAATGAATCTTGAAATTTTTCATTATCTCTTCACCTTTCAAATATTCTACTCTAATTTCCCATTTCCTTCATTGTACTTCCTACACAAGCCTATTGTAACTTTCTCCTGCAGATGCTCTCCCTATCTCTACACCTTTTTCCCCGTCTTCAATGCATCTTTTAATTGGCTGTCTGATCGGTCATTCTAGAATTGCAATTCCATTAATATTAATCCTCAAACGAGGCATTTTATGGGTCTTTATACTTTTAAGAATGCTACTCATCTGGGTATGAGAATTGAACCTTTCCATACTTTCTGTATTTATTCACTCTAAGTAGTTGGCTTTACACTCTGACCATCTGACTTTACTGAAATATGGCTACCTAGGCTCACCTTGAAGTTTCAAGCCTCAGGGCTTACAAAAACTTTTCCCCATACTACCACTTCTAGAAAAATTAAATCATCCTTCAAGACTCATCTCAGGTACTTCCTCATTTGTGATGATTTTCTTGAATTCTTCCATCTTTTGGACGGAGTCATAGACATTTCCCAACAGTGTTTCTATTATAGCACTTTTGTGTGTGTGTGTGTGTGTGTGTGTGTGTGTGTGTGTTTAGGCTTTTATTATTATTATTATACTTTAAGTTATAGGGTACATGTGTACAATGTGCAGGTTTGTTACATATGTATACATGTGCCATGTTGGTGTGCTGCACCCATTAACTCGTCATTTACATTAGGTATATCTCCTAATGCTATCCCTCCCCCCTCTCCCCACCCCAGTGTGTGATGTTCCCCTTTCTGTGTCCAAGTGTTCTCATTGTTCAATTCCCACCTATTATTATAACACTTTAGTTTAATAGAGTATTGAAATGATTGTTAGCACTTAAGAGCCTGGCAGGATAATAAACCATGATATTTTCTGGTGCAATGGAGCTAGACCACCTGGTTGACATGTTAGCTTAAGCATCCACTGGGTGTTGAGATATGTGGAAGTCATTTAACTTTTCTGTGCCTCAGTTTTCTGATATGTAAAATAGCAATAATAAGAAGATCAGTCATAGTGTTCTTTTGCAGATATGTAAGTATATGTCTGTAAAGCAATTAAAATTGTGCCCAAAGGAAGCACTCAATAAAGTTTAACTTTTATAATTGTAATCTAGAGACCTTCATAGTTACATTTATTCCTATAGGCTTAATACTGTCTCAGTTGTAATGCATTCTTCATCAAAAATAGGTTAAATAAATGGATGTCTCTGAAACTAGGGTTTATATATGTTTTACTTCTTTATTTTTTGCCCTTTTAAACAGTTTAGATTTAAGAATTGCTGCTAACAGGGATTTATCTGAAATGACAACTCAATTTCCTAAATTATTCTTCGGGGATAAAAGAGGCAGCATTTCTGGATACCTAACTTGGAGGCTATGAAAAAACTTAGTACCACACAGATACAGGCTTGCAATTATCCATGTTGGTATAAGCATAAATCATGTTGGTGTGTGTATGCACACTTGTGCACATGTATATGTATGTCTGTAATAATGCAAGTGTTTTGCTTGTGGTTAGTTTGAGCAACTGGTAACATATGAAGTACAAATTTTTGCAGATAAAGTTAATTTATTTCTTACTGTACAGTATGAAAACATACTTATCTAGGTAATGTATTAAATTCACAGTGTGTATGTGAGGAAAGCTTTACCTCTGTATACCCTTGTGATTTATTTGTATACAAAGTAAAGTAACATTTTTGTTCAAGTAATAGCACAGTTTGTGCTTTCTTGCAAGGATATCAGCATGAACATCTGATTCTTTAAATACAAGGGTTGTTGAAGCTAATGTCACCCAAGTCACTCAGTTGCCTCTACAAATTTCTACATGAATACATTCTTTTAGATTTGAATGTAAGAAAACCAATTGGTCCCTAAAAATGTGGAGTTGACAATGGGAACTATACAAATTAATGATTTCCACATACGCTCTTTCTACCAAGAACCAGAAAGTCATATTCGAGGCTAAAGATAGTACAGTTGATCTTAGAACAATGTAAGTTTGAACTGCATAGGTTTACTTTATGTGGATTTTCTTCCATTTTTGTCACCTCTGAGACAGCAAGAACATCCTTCTTCTCTTCTTCCTCCTCCTCAGCCTATGCAATGTGAAGACGATGAGGATAAACAGAACAGAGCCCTCAGAAATAATGCTGCATATCTACAACTATCTGATCTTTGACAAATCTGAGAAAAACAAGAAATGGGGGAAGGATTCCCTATTTAATAAATGGTGCTGGGAAAACTGGCTAGCCACATGTAGAAAGCTGAAACTGGATCCCTTCCTTACACCTTATACAAAAGTTAATTAAAGATGGATTAAAGACTTAAATGTTAGACCTAAAACCATAAAAACCCTAGAAGAAAACCTAGGTAATACAATTCAGGACATAGGCATGGGCAAGGACTTCATGACTAAAACACCAAAAGCAATGGCAACAAAAGACAAAATTGACAAAAGGGATCTAGTTAAACTAAAGAGCTTCCGCACAGCAAAAGAAATTACCATCAGAGTGAACAGACAACCTACAGAATGGGAGAAAATTTTTGCCATCTACTCATCTGACAAAGGGCTAATATCCAGAATCTACAATGAACTCAAACAAACTTACAAGAAAACAACAACCCCATCAAAAAGTGGGCGAAGGATATGAACAGACACTTCTCAAAAGAAGACATTTATGCAGCCAAAAGACACATGAAAAAATGCTCATCATCACTGGCCATCAGAGAAATGCAAATCAAAACCACAATGAGATACCATCTCACACCAGTTAGAATGGCAATCATTAAAAAGTCAGGAAACAACAGGTGCTAGAGATGATGTGGAGAAATAGGAACACTTTTACACTGTTGGTGGGACTGTAAACTAGTTCAACCATTGTGGAAGTCAGTGTGGCAATTCCTCAGGGATCTAGAACTAGAAATACCATTTGATCCAGCCATCCCATTACTGGGTATATACCCAAAGGATTATAAAACATGGTGCTATAAAGAGACATGCACACGTATGTTTATTGTGGCACTATTCACAATAGCAAAGACTTGGAATCGACCCAAATGTCCAACAATGATAGACTGGATTAAGAAAATGTGGCACATATACACCATGGAATTCTATGCAGCCATAAAAAAGGATGAGTTCATGTCCTTTGTAGGGACATGGATGAAGCTGGAAACCATCATTCTCAGCAAACTATCGCAAGGACAAAAAACCAAACACCACATGTTCTCACTCATAGGTGGGAATTGAACAATGAGAACACTCGGACACTTGAAGGGGGAACATCACACACTGGGGCCTGTTGTGGGGTGGGGGGAGGGGGGAGGGATAGCATTAGGAGATATACCTAATGTTAAATGATGAGTTAATGGGTACAGCACACCAACATGGCACATGTATACATCTGTAACAAACCTGCACGTTGTGCACATGTACCCTAAAACTTAAAGCATAATAAAAAAAAAACTTTATGATGACCCACTTCCACTTAATGAATGGTAAATGTATTTGACTTCCTCTGATTTTCTTTATGACATTTTCTTTTCTCTAGATTCCTTTATTGTAAGAATATAGTCTATAATACATATATACATATATAAACATAACATGTTTATGTTATATGTATTCTAACATGTAAGTATGTTTTAATTGACTAGGCTATCAGTAAAGCTTTGGGTCAACAGAAGGCTACGAGTAGTTAAGTTTTGGGGGAGTCAAAAGTTTCACTTGGATTTTCAACTGTGCTGGGGAGAAGTCAGTTCTCCTAACCCCCCAAGTTGTCCAATGGTGAACTGTAGACAACTGATACTTTTCCTAGGCATTTTTGCATTAGCCCTTTTCCTTTGCTCTGAGTTCTATATTATTTATAATACTTTCCTTTTCTATGAGTAATCTCAAAGTCTTTCTGGAATGAGTGGAAGCATAAATATATTTATATGTTTATACATACATATATAATGGATTAAATTGGTCCCCATGTTATCATATTTCTATTCTCAAATCTAGAAGCATCAAGACAGAGTTAATGAAAATTTAATTAGTTTCCTGATGGAAAAGAAACCTTGGCATCCACTCTTTCATCTGCATTAGAAATGTACATTGCTTGAGAACCATGAGTGTTCATTATCCATTATCAATGTGGAGCCCTGTACCAGCGGAAATAATGCTGGTTAAATGTAATAATAGGTTAGATGTTAGACTTACTCCTTTTTAATTACATTTATAAATACTAGTTCCTCTTTTAAATAAACTGGATGAATTATACACTGTTACCGCAATTATAAAGTGGAATTTCAGAGTATCAAGCAAAAACTTGCATATACAATCCCATGGACTGTTCGGGGAGATGAAATACTACTGCTATCTAGGTTCTAATAAATGTCAGTTTTATTTTTTTAACCTAATTTCAACTTTATTACCTCCAATTCTGGAAATTGAGGTCTATCGATCTTCTCTAATCAAAAACAGAGAATTTGTCAGGAACCTCAATATGATGTCTAGCTTCTGTCATAAACAGAGTTGAAATAACTGATATCTATGTTGCAGACTTTTAGATTATGTTCCCCTTCCATTTGTCTTGGATTTCAAAATTCCATTCTTACATTAAATTAATTCAAAAGAAACAAGTATAGGAGAACCACATGAAATTATCTTACCATAGAAATGTTAGTGATTGTTATATTCCACAATCATATTTGAGGAATTATATAAGCAGAAGCTTTATGCAGTAACCTCCGGGGACTTCCATATTTTGGAGTGACTTCCTCAAAATTTTCCAAGACCTTTTATGTGACTAAGGCTATCTGTGGGTGGCAATGTGATCTGAGAAGGTCATTCTGGTCTAGGCTGGAAATGTTTGGGTCTCAGTGTCCATTTATCGTTTGGGGCTCACTTTGACATTCTACTCAACCTACAGGTTCATAAGTGCCCTGTGGATCTTTAGGGATTGCACTATGAGGTTGGCCCCGTGCCACTTGAACAGCCCCTGACTCCTGGTAGGCAGCCTGTAAAGGAGATAGTTCATAGTTCTTGCTTAATGGCAGTGTGTGTGTGTGTGTGTGTGTGTGTGTGTGCGCGTGTGTATTTGTAAGATCACTGAGACTGGATGACCAGAATGGTACTTATGGGCTGATTTGATTTGGGGTGACTCAATTTTTAAACATAGATAGGTGCCCTGCAAAAATCATTTGCCTGGGACCACATATGCCTTAGTGGAAACTCTGGTTATATGTCCCTTTCAACAAAGTTTCTATTTAAAGAACTTTTCCACTGTATAATTTAATATCCTTTAAATACATTTCCACAATGTAATTTATTTTAAGTGTGGTAGAAATAATTCAGATCTTAAATGAATATTCCTCCTTTGACCTAATATTGGAATCATACAACCTATTATATATCTCTTTAGTTTATGTTTTCAGAAAGCTCAAGGGATTTGCTGCTCAAGAGTCATGATCTTCTATAACCATTTCCAAACACTCTTCCTATGATGGTTTTCCAATTATGACTTTGGATTTATTTTAAACTCTCCTCAAGCATCAATTTTTCTTTATCAAAACCCATGGCAATATCTTTTACAAAACTTAAAAAGAATTCACAAAATCAAAATAAAATATAATACTTATTTTTGGGGAAATTTTTTTTTGGTGTGGTGGACAAGTTATACTGTTCTAGACATGGGTGAAAACAATTTAATGGAAAAAAAAGCAGTAAAACATAACTGTCCTGAAACAGATAGTTGCCACCGAGTATTTTGTGAAAAAAATTAAATTTCCATAAAGTTGCAATAAGATATTTAAATTGCATGCTCTGTTGATGTGTACATATTTGGGTTCCAAAATTTATTACTTCAGCCATAAAGACACTTATAAATATCTGCTGAAAATATATAAATTATTTATAAAGCTTAAGCAAGCCAAATCGAATACTTCAGAACCACAATCCAAATGGCACATCACATTTTAACGGGAAAGGAGAAGAAATACATTCTTGTCATTAAAGAACACCAAGATCAGTTTAGATTATTTATGCCTGGTGATTCTTCTCTGTGTCTCTTATTGCTAAATATCTCCAATTTGGCTGTGAGCAATAAAAATGATATAACTATACTGATACTATACTTCTAACTATGGTTATAATTATGCTTAATAACATTTTCATACTTTAACTTCATGTCTTCAGCAAAGAATGTCAAAAATTGAACGAAATATATACTATTTTCATTAAAATAATCAGGAAGAATTAAAGCAAAGAGGGTTTAAATGATATTCTGAAGCTTACCCGGGCCATTGAGTCAGGAAGATAAACCAGGTCTCTTGGATTTCAATTCCAGTGTTCTAGTCACTGGTTTGTTCAACTCCTGTGCAAAACATCCATACAAAATACACAATGCATATTCCCCCTTCCTATCAAGCGGTTGTCAAAAGAAATACGCCATTACCTTTCCCACATACTGAGGCTCGGAGCCCACGTATTCTTCCAGCACAAAAAATTGATTCCATACCCAGCCACGTTTAACACGTTGGAAATGTGACCGTTGTCCTGGCAGATGGATAACATTTTCTCTTGGCTCTGTGGCTAAAGTCTGCTGTGGCTGTGGTTGTAGTGGTGTTAGGAGACCTCCATCAAACAGAACCCAGAGAAGCAGGGATAAACAGTTCCTTGTAAGCATTGGCAAAGGCTTTCCTACAGCAGAGTAATAAAAACTCCAACACTTAACGTAGAATTGTGGAATCCAGGTTTGAGGTGTCTGTGGCCTCCACCACTTAGCTTCTTGTTTTATTGCAGAAATGATGATGCAGGCATTAATCCTTTTGATGAAAAGGCTTCTGCTGTATTATATTCCATCTAAAGGGGCCTATGAAATAGATGAACAAAGATACATTAAATTAATGAAATTGCATGATGATATTCATCACAACGCTCATTATATCTGCCAACATTTAAGGAAACCGAGAAGAAAGACTATAAAAGAATTATATTAGTAAACGGTCACCGCTATTCAACATTTTAACTTGGATAAATTATCTGAGTTTTTCACAGACTTGAGAAAATATTAGTTACAATGAAGCAAAAGGTGCATTATAAACAGAAATGATATTTTCAAAAAATTGGCAAATCATTTTAAGGAGAAAAATACAGACCACTATTTTAAAGTGAGCTATTAAGTTAGAGTAGGATCTTGCAACTTCAGCATTATTGACATCTTAGGGTTGATAATTCATTATTGCTGGGAAGCTATTTTGTGCATTTTAAGATTTCTAGTAGCACTTTTTTCTTCTACTTAATAGATGACAGTAGCACCCCTTCCCATATCTGGTTTGTGACAAGAAAAAAGTATCTCCAGACATTGCCATATATCCCCTAGGGGAGCAAAAAATGCCAAAATTAAGAACCACAATGTAGAGAATAAAGAAAACAATTTTTAAAAAGCAAAAAGTTCCTGAAGTTAGAGAATAGAAAGATACAGACGATCTAAAGAACAAGATAAATTATTAAATGTAAAAGCGAATCATCTTACTAAAATGTAAATGATGGATACAATGTTTTAAGTCTTTATAAATTTAAATTTTCTTTAAAAATGTTTCTCTAGCCTGGATATACCAGAAACCTTGACAATGTGAGTATTACTTTATAGACGTTGTGTAGCTCAGAGAAAAGCTGGATCCCTACCAGATGCAGAGCTTTTACTCTGCATTTAGATAAAATGACCTTTGAACTTTTTCTTATAACAAGCGTTTTTAAATTCACTTATCTAATATTCATTGAGTGTCTATAACACACTGTCTTTAATTATGTGGTAGATAAAAAAACAGACACAATCTTTGCCTCTCTAAAATCACAAACAAAAAATAAACAGTCAAATAAATAACTGAGGGCAGATTATGCAAATGGAAAAAAAAAAAGCAAACAAGAATATCCTGAGGGTAAAACCTACGTTAGCAAAACCTGTTGTAGGTGATAATTGCACTGAGGTCTAAAGGAATAAAAGCATTCCTATATTTTCTAAGCAGGCATGATGAAACGTGGCTCTAGAACAAGGGTGATTTTATGCATTTGGCACTAGGGTCACAGTGCTTCGAGCCTATAAGGTTTCTAAAGGCCGAAAACGTTGGAAGCCAGAAAATATATATAATGCTTCCAAAACAAGAGAACTAAAATCAAATCAATGCATGTTTAATTAAATGTCTATAAAACATGGTGTTTTTGTCAACTAGTCAGCTGCAGTTCAGAACAATGTGTATTCACTTATGTGTAATGTAATAAAAACATTTAATGAGTTCTTTATAAATATTGAAATTTAAACATTAAATGTGGAAATAGTAATTCACCATACTTGAGATAAGATATGAGATGAGGAGTGTCCAAAAGTTATACTCTGAAAGTATTTTATAGGGCAAACCTAAAAAAAATAAAATAAAACCGGATATAAATTTTTTTCTTCTTTATAAGAGTGTAACTGTAACTGTTAGATATTGACAAAACCGTAAGTTGTCTTTTTTTGCATCTTTTCATTCTGACAAAATAATATTTATAAAAAGTTAAGTTAGATCTGCCTTGTCCAATATGGAAACCTCTAGTCACATGTGCCTTTTTAGTTAAAAATTGGCAATTTGGGATCATGATGTGCTCTACTTTTAAATTATATGTTGAATTTCAAAGACAGTACAAAAAATAGGAAGGTATCTTTTTTTTTATCACTTGACATGATATTTTGGATATGTTAGGATAAATAAATACACATTATTAAAATTAATTTTGCTTCTTTCTTTCTTTTTTCTTTTTCTTTTTTTTGATGGAGTCTTGCTGTGTCTCCCAGGCTGGAGCGCAGTGGCGTAATCTCAGCTCATTGCAATCTCCGCCTCCTGGGTTCAACTGATTCTTCTGACTCAGCCTCCCGAGTAGCTGGGACTATAGGTGCGTGCCACCACACCCGGCTAATTTTTTTTATTTTTAGTAGAGACGGGGTTTCACCATGTTGGCCAGGATGATCTCGATCTCCTGACCTCATGATCCACCTGCCTCAGCCTCCCAACGTGCTGGGATTACAGGCGTGAGCCACCTCGCTTGGCCTCTTTCCAATTTTTTAATGTGCTTACTAGAAAATTAACATTTGATATGCAACTCACATTTACATTTTGAATTATTTTCAATTGGACAGCACTGATTTAGACAATACAGTTTGAATCACAAACTGTGATTTCTATTTAAGCAATTTATTCTTAACATTCAAAGTAAAATATCTAACATGAACTCCATCACGTTTGCGGTAAAAATACGTTAGAAAGTCAGAGAATCTTTTGCATCTATTTCAATAACGTGTAAGCATGGTAATGTATTTTTTTCTCATTTGTTTTTAAGTTTAAATTGCTAGGGTTAACCTCCAAGGTGTATTAATTTCTTAAATTTTTTGTTTCTTCCATGTTTCATCCCATACTCATACCAATCCTATTCCAAGCATATCAGTTCAGATTGGGAGATAAATACAAGGAGAAAAATGGGTGACAGAAACTCTGACTTCCCAAATCTATTCTAGAATATGCCATTAGGTTGCATTTCTGCCTTCCTGTTCTATTAAACCTTTTCTTTCACTATTTTGGGGATGTGAGGTATCAACACTCAGACTTTAGAGAACACTGACATCTAAGGTCATCTCTCAAGACAAGTGTCTTTTTATTGTATATTAGAGATTTTTGAGGTTGGACATATGACAACATTCATCATCATTGCCGCCAGTCTGGTCCAAATTCTCCTTTTCGCTTAGAAGTCAAATGTGTCTAAAATCTGAGCTGTGGCTCCCTACCAGAGTAATCTTGCAGAAGTTTCCATCCACTCACATCACTTTCCATCTGTTGATTGTGCTAGAATATGTGTCTATAGTGTGGAAAAATTAGTGAATAAGTGATTGGTAATTAGAGAGAAACATAAATTTAACATGCAAAGTGCAGTAGTCCCCATTTATATGTGAAGAATGTGTTCCAAAACCCCCAGGAAATGCCTGAAACCAAGGATAGTACCGAAGCTGTTATCTGTCAATCTGAACACATCTCTGTTTATGTCTTCCACCCACAAATTTTATACTTTTTCCATCTTAACTAAGCCCATATCATGGGACTGTAACTTTTGCAGTTTTGGGAGGTGGGACAGCAAAACTAGAAGGGGTTTCTTTTTCATTCTTCACAATTTCATGGAGAGGTTTATTCTTACCATAGCAACCTCAGCATATGATTTATTTTCTTTCCTTATTAAGTAGAGAACTTTCACCTTTTCACATAAAAGGAAGACTTTATGGCTTCTCTTTGGCATATCCAAGTTGCCAGCATCACTATTCTTGCACTTTGGGGCCATTATTAAGTAACCTAGGCTTTCTTGAACATAAGCACTCGATACTGTGACAGTCAGTCTGCTAACCAAGAAGGCTAAGTGACTCATGGGTAGGGAGTGTCTACCTCTTGAATCCACTGCACAAAGAGACTATACACATCCCAGGTGGGACAGAAGTATATGGTGCAAAATTTCATCATGCTACTCTAAATGGTGCACAGTTCAAACCTTATAAATTGTTTATTTCTGTAGGTTTTTATTTAATATTTTTGGACTGCAGTTGATCACCGGTTACTGAAACCATGGAAAATGACGCAGGATAAGGGGTGACTACTGTGTGTTGTTTCATAAGCTAATTCACCAACACATAAACAGTTTGCATCAGGAAACAACAGCAGCTAAATGCAAACTATGGTAATAAAGCTGAAGTTAACTGGAGCCACAGAGGAGTGCAACGTAGAACATGATGCCCATTTCCCTCAGGCCCACATTCTGTTCTTACTTTGGCTCTTGTTGGACACAAATTCTATCATACTGTGCTGTGTTTCTTCCAGATTTTTATGCATTTCTCTCTCAAAGTAGGCTGAACTTTACTTGTATCCATGTTATCAAATTACCTTCTTTTTTAAGAGTAGAATTTTATGTTTACTAGATATTTATTTAGCAATAGTTTATTTTTGCTGATATTTTCATTGGGATGGTGATTGCTAGTGGCAATTGCATGAGTTTTGGGGATCTGCACATATCTTTTTTCTCTATGAGCTCTGTTATTTTAATATGAATTTTGCAGAATGCAGAGCTTTTAAAAAACTTGCATATCACACTTAGCAGAAGCACTTGTAATTAAAAACATAAAACTTTCTCCTTGCACGTATTAAAATCCAGAACTTTAATATGACATTTACGAATTTAACAAGGCCTGCATAATCGACCTCTGCATGTTCAACCCTTGCCATTCTCTTCCTTTCCTGAGTCCAAACTCCTTAGTTTTAACTCATGTTAATAACAGTAATAACAGTAATTTATATTAGGAGTGTACTCATGTGATTATTTGTTTACTCTTTTCTGGGTGGAGTGGTGGCGTAAAGAGAAGCTAGGGAGGAGTAATGATGCCTATTTTATCAGCCATTCTGTTCCTGGGGTCTACACTATTACCTGGCAAATTGTAGGCACCAAGTACATCTTTGTTAAGTTTGAATGAATAATTCATTGAATGGTAATAGCTAACCTTTATTGAAAACTTACAATGTTCTACATAGTGTTGTATGTTCTATGCCTATATAACAGCCCTGTGAAGGAGGTGGTATTATTACACCCATTTGACAGAAGAAATGGAGGAACAGAGATGTTAAGTGACTTGACCATGATCTACATGTTAGTACATAGCAGGCAGGCTTGAATCTGGGCAGTCTGACTACAGAGCTCATACTCTTGGATCCTCTACGGTGTTGCCCCTCTGTTAATAGATATAAAAATACACAAAACCTCAGGGGTTTCCAATCCTAGTAAAACAAGGAATATGTGCCCGCAAACTTGAGTTTCAAGTTATTTTTCAAAACCTAAGCAGGTATTTCAATACTGGGCAGCTTAAGCTTTCAGACTCATTTAGCTCTTTTGTAAAATTAGGAGATTTAAGCTATCAGGTCAATATAGTTCCTCTGAAGTCCAGAGATCCAAGACTCCCAGCTTTCCACCCACAAAGATCTGGGAAGGACATAATTTTAGGCAGAGGTAGGAAATAATAGACATGGTCACTGTTCTCATAGGATTGCACAGTGACTGAAAATTCAGAAAGTGCTCCAACAGCCCATCAAGGCACTAAACAGGTCACCAGGTTGAGTGATAAGAAATAGCTGTTGTACAGAAAAGAGGGTATGAGGGTTTCCAACTGTTCCAGGGAGCTCTTCCTAGTGATCTTGAACTGTGGATGTAGTTCTGGGGTCCGATAGATGAGATGGCAGCCTGTTTGACCTACCTGACAATTCTACATTTGAGGATTGCTTCTGGCATTGATATTATTAAAAATAAATAAATTACTTAATGGATTAATAAAAATATTGACTTTGGAACAAGAAAGATCTGAAGTATCATTTTACATGAATTCACAGCATAGTTTTATGCTAAGTAACTATCTGTTAAGTAGCATTTGAACTGTGAGGACACAATCAACAATGGTCTTTTATTTGTGGAGCTATACAATAAATATGACTAAGTAAATATTTTTCAATCTCATCCCTCAATGAGAACGTGTGTGAGTGCATTTCCTCACTCCTGTCATTGTTTTATAATCCTAAAATCCATTTCAAGTCTCTATAACACTACAGTCCTTCAGTGAACAGATGAACCAATGTTATTTTCAGTACAGGATGCTGCTCCCAGCAGATCCCAGACTCTGGCCACGGTTGTCAGCCAGGGAGCTTTTAAAGTGCTATATCACAACAATAATAATGCAAGGAGATTGAAGGACTCCAGTTCTTAAGTGAAAGGCAAACAACTCCCCCAGGCATGAAACACAGGCTAAATTACAAGGAAAAACTATATCAAGCCATCAACCTGGGTATACTTGCCCCAGCACCAATGGTGTTGTTATAAAAGCAAGAACAGAAAGCTTATTCTGGGAGGTCAGTACCCTATGGAAATATGTGAACCTTAAGGAAGACAGATTTGCTACAAAGGACATCACCAGAAGTAGGTTGTATTCCATATACCTGATTTCAGGTACAGTGATAAAATATTTATATTTGTCTATGCTTCCTCATCTTTTGTAGAGCCAGAGTGACTTTTCAAAGACTTCTTAACTCGGATGATGACTCTCTGGAGCCCAACATCCCTTTTAGCAGGAGGGATTTTTTTTTTTAAATGGTCATATATCAAAGCAGCAGATATTTAGTTGTGAAATACTCACTGACAGTAACACTTCCTTGAAGTGTGCCTCCAAAGCTAAAAGATATACAAAGGCTGTGGTTTCCCTAGTTATTTATTTAAATGGGGAGTGTTTGCTTTTAAGAATAACTCCTGAAAAAGGGCAAATATATTCAATATAAATTACATTGAAAGGGTTCTCTTTGTCAGGGACAACTTATTAAGCTGAAAGACTTGTTAATTATTAAAAGGTGTTCTCTATTATGGGTAGCATTCTAATACTAACTGCATATTGGAGAACTCTTTAATGGTGACTATGCTTGTGGTCTATTTTAAATTAATATTCTATGGAGTAATTTTTCAAGGGCACTTCTTAAAATTTAAAAGGAAAATAATACAACCTCCCCCACCTCCTCTTGTGAATAGGTGGCCCTTTAATTTGAAATAGTAATCAAAAGTGATCCCCATTGAACAATATAAGGGAAGGCTTTATTTTCCATATTATTAAAAAAAATCAATGGCAGCATAACTTACGTAATCCAAAAAATATTAAAATGTCAACAATATGCTTTATATTTTTTAATGTTATTCTTCACCTTGAAAACATTATTTTATTTGACTTAACTTCATAAATTAAGCTTTCTGCTTCCTATTGTATGAAATGCATTATAATCAGTAAATATTTAAAGACTTCAAGCAAATCTGATAGTTTAAGAATATGACTCCCAGGAAAATTATTTGAAGGTTTCAACAGGCACTGTTATGCAAATTTTAAGCTTTGTTCAGGAAAACATGGTACTTTTTGAAAAGCCTTGGGAATGAGCATACATCCCTAATGCAGCTTTTTTGGTTCCAGTTAAACCTATCCCAAAATGACATATGACTCTCTCTCTGGTATAGCAAACCCTTAACACTCACTCTTTTGTTTTATAGACTGCCTGCTGAGAAGCAGACATAGTAAACCAATCTCTGCTAATTCTTATCAGCAAAACAGAGGTGTCTGTAGATGATTATTACTCAATGATCTTAACTTATGGGGTTCATTAATCCTGCCTCTCTGGCTTGTCCAGATTCTACTCCCTACTTCTCAAGTATGTTAGGAAGCCAAAATATGCTATTTGAATTTTATTTATATATTTATTTATTTATTTATTTTTTATTATTATTTTTTGAGACGGAGTCTCACTCTGTCACCCGGGCTGGAGTGCAGTGGCGTGATCTCGTCTCATTCCAGCCTCCGCCTCCCGGGTTTAAACAATTCTCTGCCTCAGCCTCCTGAGTAGCTGGGATTACAGGCACGTGCCAACAAGTCCCACTAATTTGTTTTTTGTTTGTTTGTTTGTTTGTTTGTTTTTTGCATTTTTAGTATCTTGGCCAGGCTGGCATTGAACTCCTGACCTTGTGATCCACCCGCCTTGGCCTCCCAAAGTGCTGGGATTACAGGCGTGAGCCACCGTGCCCGGCCCGAATTTTAACTGATATGAAAATGGCTGCTACTAGTTTTACTGAAATGAAAATGGCTGCTACTGGTATCTCCTACAAGCCAAGAAAAAAAAAATGTTAAAAAAAAAAGAAACTCAACATGGGACATCTTTCCAGTACTTTATGGCAAGAGACAGAATCTCTCTCTTTAAGGAGAAAAGAAATCGATCACATCTTTATTTTTGTGGTGTGATTTTAACTGCATTGTTTGAAAACCCTTGACAGTGTATTCTGAAATTGATAATTTACCTCTGTGGTCTTTCACCCAAAAATCCATAACCCCATTCTAATCATAAGACAAGTCTCAATTGAGAGATGTCCTATAAAATGCCTCACTAGTACTTCTTAAAATGGTGAAAGTTGCTGAAAATAAGAAAAATCTGAGAAACTGTCAAAGCCAAGAGGAGCTTAAGCAGACAGGACAACTAAATGCAATGGAGGGGATCCTGGAATATTAAAATAATCATAGGTAATAATTAAGGAAACCTGAAGAAAATATGGACTTTAGATAATAATAATGTATCAGTATTGGTTATTCACCTGTAAGAAGTATACTATCCTAATATAAGATGTACAGAAGAGGGGAAACTGGGACTCAGTTATGGCTAAAATAAGGTACAATCTACTTTCTGTCAGACACTGAACGAGTTTACAAGAAGTGATGTGACAAGAATGGGGAAAAAAGGTCGGGTGTGATGGCTCACACCTCTAATCCCAACACTCTGTGGGGCCGAGGCAAGCAGATCACTTGAGGCCAGGAGTTCGAGACCAGCCTGGCCAACATGGTGAAACCCTGTCTCTACTAAAAAATACAAAAATTTGCTTGGTGTGGTGGCACACACCTGTAGTCCCAGCTGCTTGGGAGGCTGAGGCAGGAGAATTGCCTGAACCCAGAAAGCAAAGGTTGCAGTGCGCCGCAATCATGCCACTGCACTCCAGCCTGGGTGACAGAGTGAGACTTTGTCTCAAAAAAAGAAAAAAAAGAATGGGAAAAAAATAATTTGAGTCCTATTTAGACATTGCTTTGTAATGTATAGAAATCTTCATAAAAATTCAAGATCTCCATTTTGATTATTTAACCATGTGTTGAAGAAGGATAACTGTGATGGAAAATACTTTGAATTTTCAAACTGCATTCAAATTCTGTATCAACAAAATAATGGAAAATGCTCCTACAGGGATAGATTTAAGAAAGTTTCCAGAAAGCCACCCACTGGGGATTGATGGTGAGCTGCTCAGAAAATCAGCTCAGAGTAAGTTTGGAGAAAATTCCAGTTGTAGTAATACCATCAAAATTGTCTGAAGCCACTTAGACTCTATCATACCCCTGTGTGATCTTTCTGAATTCCCAATTTTATGTAGTTAATCGGGACTGAATTTAAAAAAATGATGATAGGTGCATTCTGAGAGTGAAATTTAAAAGTAGGATGCAATGCTTCTGGAATGGCAGAGTAAAGAGTTATGCTGACATTCTACACAGCAAAGCAGCAAGTTCACTGAGACAATTATTTAATAATTATCATTTAAAGTCTCTAGAAATGGTCTTAAGTGTATTCAGCAAACAAAATAACACTCATTGCCAGCTGTGTTTCTCATCCTTCTTGCCAGTCCTGAGTTGTAGAAACACTATTTCTAGTGGGTGTGGAGGAGAGAACCAAGACTTCCTTTTCCCCAGCCCCTCTCAGAGGATAAAAGCTCTGTTTCAGACCCACCAAGTCAAGCATACTGGGACCTCCTCTCCTTGCCTTAGGTTTCTTGTAGAGCAGAAATTCCACATTCGTAGGGGTAAATGAGAAGACTAAGGACTACAATCCCTATCACCACCACCACTACTACCACCAATGCCCCCTTAAAAAGGGAAGGTATCACTACAGGGTATGAGGGTCCCAACTCCCAGTGTTGTTGCATTGGTATAGACATTCCTCTCAGGGGAAACAGAGGCCAAAAGGACAAAGGGCTCTACAGCTTTGTCTCAGGGGGCATACTTTATTTGGACAGAGTGTAAACTCCTTGTCTGATGTTGAAAGTAGTAAAAACCCAGCAGGTAGCAATTATGAGGAAGCTGGTGGCTCTGTGATACACGCAAAGGGACAATCAAGAAGACCTCTCATGGGACCAAGATCAACTCTGGAAATTGGTAAGGTAATTTATACACAGTAAGCCTTGCTTTCTTACTACCAACCACCGCATGGCATGAGGCAGTTGTGAAAGTGTCCCCCAAGGTAAACACAAAACTTTTGATGTGGCAGGAGCCCCACCTGCACAAAGGGCTTAAATAAAACTTCATACCAAATACTGACTGAACAACATGCTACTCTGACTCAGACGCAGCAGTACAATGGTAAAAAGTAAAAATCTAACTGGCTACGGGGGCTTACAAACAGCCATTGACCAGCAGGCTGTTTACACTGACATTAGACAATGTCATATGTGGCCATGATTAAAGATAGAAAACAGAAAAATTCTGAGCAGGCAGAGGCTGAAAACTGTGGGGGTAAAAGATTCCGCAAAATGAGTTCATCCAATTCACTAAGAGATAAATGACCAAGCAAATAACAACAACCCCCAGGAAAGGGACTGGTGGTTCAGTAATTAGAACTGTTAGAATATAGTATTTATAAAGTCAATTTTCCACAATGTTAAGACATGCAAGGAAACAGAAAAATGGGATCCACACACTGGGATGGGGGGAAATCAGAGAAACTAGTTATTGAAGGAGCCTAGACAGTGGACTTGGCAAGCAAAAATGTCAAAGTAACATTATAAACATCTTGAAAGAACCAAATGTAACAATGCATAAAGAATTAAAGGAAGGAAGACAGTTGATAATATCTCATCAAATGAAAATGTTATTAAAAAGATAATTTACTTTTTAAATGCCACATGGCAATTACAGAGATGAAAAATAGAATAACAGAAATGAAAACATTTACTAGAGGAGCTCAACACTAGATTTGATCTGGGAGAAGAAATAACCAAGATTAAAATTTTACCACATACCTTCTTCATCTAAGATATAATTACATTAAAAATCAACTGCAGAAAAAAAATTTCGGTACATTTTAGAACTACAGAAGAAAATATGAGAATTTCTGTAACTGGGGAAATTAAAAGGTGAAAAAGTCAAACAATGCCGTCTAAAATAACCAATTATTTAAAGAATAAAGTATAGGGAAATTTTAAAAAAATGAGATTAATTAAAACTAGAATAGAACATACAAATGTATGTAACAAAGCAGTGAGCATAAGGAGATTTATAACTGTAAGTGCCTACATTTAAAAATTCTCAAATCAATAATTTAACCACCCCAATAAGAAAGAAGAAAAAAAGAAGAGCAAACTAAACTCAAAACAATCAGAAGTAGTAAAGATAAAGACTGAAGTGGAAATTAATAATGTAAAGAATGAAAACAATAGATAAAATAAACACACCAAATTGTTCCTTTGAAAGGATTAACAAAATTAACAAATGCTTAGTTATAATTATTACAAAAAATGAAATTACTAAAATCAGTAAAGAAGAAACATCACTATCAACCTTCTAACAATTAAAAAACGTACTATAACAAATACCATGAACAACTTTATGCCAACAAATTAAACAACATTGATGAAATGGACACATTTTTAGAAAGACAAAAATTAATAATATTACCTCAAAGGTTTAGAAGCCCTGATTAGGACTATAACACATAAAGAGATCAAATTAGCAATTTCAAAAACTTCCCACCAAGAAAATTTCAGAACAAGATGTCTTCACTGTTGAATTCTATCAAACATTTCAATAATAATTAATATAAAACCTCTGTAAACTCAAAAAAAAAAAAAAGAAGTTGAGGGAACATACCCTGACTTATTCTATGCGACCTTTAACATTACAATACTGAAATCCAACCAACACTTGACAAGATAAACACACACACATACATACATACACACACACACACACACACACCCTCCTGAATACCAATATCCCTTATGAATATAAATGTAAGAATTCTCAACACAGTTCTGGCACAGCAAATCCAGCAAAATACGAAAGAGATTATACACTATGACCAAATGGGATTTATCTTATTACTGCAATGTTGGTTTAATGTCCAATAAATATTTAATGTAATACCCATGTCAATAGAATAAAGAAGAAACAAAACAAACAGAGGATCATGTCAATGATCTAGAAAATGTATTTGATAATTTTCAATATGTTTTATTGATAAAAACAATCAACAAAGTAGGAAGAAAACAAAACACCTGCAAGCTGACAAAGATAATCTAACAAGTCTCCACAAGTCATATCATGGTAAAGGTAACAGACTGCATGTTTTCTCTCCAAGAACACAAACAAGAAAGGAAGGTACACTCTCCTCGTGTCTTTACGACATTCTAATGGAGGTTTTATTAGGCAAATTAGACAAGAAAAGAGGGAAAATTTACCAGACTAGAAAGGTAGAAAAAAATTTGTCTCAACTTGCAGATGACATGATCTTTTATATTAAATATCCTAAAGTGTGTGTGTGTGTGTATATATATATATATATATATATAGCTTAGTAAATATTTTAAAGTATATACATATAGTTTAAGATATTTGTGTGTGTGTTTGTGTGTGTGTGTGAGAGAGAAAGAGAGAGAGAGAGAAACAGAGGGAGAGTGTTAGAGGCCTGGCAGCATACAAGATCAATATACAAAACTCAACTGTATTTCTATACACTGAAATGTCATTAAAATTGAATGCCATTAAAAATGGCACTGAAAATTGAATTAAGAAAATACTTCCATTTATAATAGTGTCTGAAAGATAAAATATTTAGATCAAAACCTAACAAAAGAAGTGAAAAATGCATATGCTGAAAACCACAAACCATTGTTGCAAGAAATTAAAGAATGTCTATGTAAATGAGTGGGCATAAAATGTTCATAGATTGGAAAGTTAATATTATTAAGAAGACAATAACCCCAAATTGATCCTTATGCAATTCCTGTCAAAATTCAAGCCACGATAGTACAGCAATTGAAATGTTCATTCTAAAATTCATGTAGAAATGAAAGGGACCCAGCAGAATATTAAAAACAGTCTTATACAAAAAAGTAAATAATTTGGAGAACTCACACTTTTCACTTTTAAAGCTCAAAACACCACTGCAATAAGCATGACAATGTGGTACTGGCATAAGTATACACCCAGAAGCCATAGAAAGGAATAGAGATCCTAAAATAAATGGGTCCATCCTGAGTGAATTTTTGCATATGGTGGCAGTGGAGGATTAAATTAGTCTTTTTTTTATGTGGATATCCAATTGACCCAGGCCCATTGTATCTAATACTGCTTGTAGCAAATCAGTTGCCTAAAAATAAGTTTATTTTAGGGTCTCTATTTTCTCAGTAAATGATCCTGGGGCAATTGGATATCCACATAAAAATGACTTTTATCCTCTACTGCCACCATATGCAAAAATTCACTCAGGATGGATCATAGACCTTATTTAAGAGTTAATCCTGTAAGATTCTTACACACAAACATAGAATAGGCAATTCAGTGTGTTTAAAAATATATGACTTCAAAAGCCCAAGTGACAAGATAAAGACAAGCTGGACTTTAGGAAAATTAGCAATTTCTTGCTTCAAAGAATACAGATATGGAAGTAAAAAGATAACCCATAGAATGCAAAAAAGTATGTTCAAATTATTCACTTGACAAGAGACTTGTATCTCAAATATATAAAGACCATTTATTATTCAATAGAAAGATAATACAATCAATAAATGAGAGAGGGCTTTGAATAGACATTTCTCCAAATCAGATACACACATGGACAATATGCCCATGAAAGGACTGTCAACACCATTCATTAGTCACTAGGAAAATGCAAATCGAAAACCACAGTGAAGATGGCTATAATAGAAAAATAACATAGTAACAAATGTTGAAGGAGGATGTGAAAAATCAGCACCCGCACACATGGCTGCTAAGAATGTAAAATGGTGGAGCTTTTTTGGATATTATTTTGGTAGTTCCTCAAAATGTTAAAATATAGAGTTTATGAGATGATCCAGAAATTTCACTCTTAGGTATCTACCTAAGAGAAAATGGAAAAGACTCATCCACACAAAAACCTGTATACATAACCTCCCAGCAGCATTATTAATCATAGCCGAACAGTGGAAACAAATTACATAAAAACCAATGGGATTATTTGATGAACAAAATCTCATATATTCATATGTAGAGGGTTCAAGGGATTTGGGGACTGATCAAGGAAAATGATGTCACTGTGAGAAGCAGTTAACACACAACAAGCTTTAGTGGGTGGTGTTTGCACAGCCTCACATGAGAGTGCACATCCCTTGCAGCATGGGGCTGATGATAGGGGCTATTATCCAGAGGACAGGGGGTTCAGAGAGGTGGTTTACACAAATGATGTTATTAAGCAGCATGGTCAGGTGTCTCTGGGTCAGAGAGATCCAAAGGGCTGTCGCAGCTTGGATTTCATAACCACAAAGCTCTAGCTTATCTATTACTAGCAGGTGTGGGGTGAGGTTTTGAAGGGTAAGTAAATCAGACACTCTCTTAAGTGGCTAAAAATCTACTTGTTTGGACTATTTTTAAAACAATTGAATGTATGAAAATTTGAGTTTGACTCTGGTGGGGTTTGGAGCTCATGGGTCTCAACTTGTAGTGAAGAAATAAACTAAGGGTACATATAAAAAGTCTACATTTAGCTCATTTACATAACACCATGCAATTGATTATTACATGGCAATGAAAAGGGATAAAGTCCTCATGCCTGCTACAATATAGATGAAATTTTAAAACATTTTGCAAATGAAAGAAGTCAGTTATAAAAGATTACATATTATATGATTGTTATTTATATTGTTTTTAGAATAGGTGAATAAAGACAGAGGGGAAATTAATTGTTGTTTAGGGACTGTATTTTGGGTATGACCTGGAGAATGATTGCCAACGGGTTTGGGGTTCCTTCTTGGGCGAATAAAAATGTTCTAAAATCATATTGTGGTGATGGTTGCAACACTATGTGAATATAGTAATAAAAATTGAATTCCATACTTTAAATAGGTGGATTGTGTGATATGGAAGTTATATCGCAATAAAGTTGTTTAAAAAATGACTTCATGATAGACTTCAGACTCAAGATTTTGGGCTGTAATTAGTGGACCTGAAATTGTCTTTGCTTCTTGAAGCAAATTAAATCAAACAAGGTCCCAATTCATGTGTTAATATATTTTACATAATATTGATCAGAGACTACCTCAATACTAACTTATGGCTCATATTTGAGAGTATTTCCACTGATTTACATGTGCTAGTGCCTCACTGCTTCACCATGACCACCTGGGCAGCATATAAATCCTCTAAAGTTTTATAGAAACCATCTGGGCTGGAAATCGCCCACATTTGCTTTATCTGTGCTGCAGAGGGAAATCAAGAGGCAAACCGTTACACAGATGAATTTTCCCAAGACACAAAGGCAGCACACTCCTTTAAACATTCCAGGAAGCAGTGAACATGGGGGAAAGAGGAGTCTGAAGCCATGCCTCAGCTTATTTTCTAGACTAAGCCTTGGAACCAACTTAAGAGGTGACCCATAAGAATCTGACTGACTGCAAGCAAGAAGAGCTCTTGGGTTGCAGAAATAGATACTATGCTGCTCTTTACGGAGAACCACAAAGATTTGAATAATGTCAATACATAATGGTATGAGTAGTTTTATTCACCAGAATTCCAGAGGGACTAAATCTAGGATGAAAATGAAGCTGAGTTTAGCACAAAGTACATTTCTCAGAGGAATGTGTACAAGGGAGAAGGTAAGGACAGAAACTATCGTAACAGTAGGGGGTGGCATGGCCTGTAAGTAGGTAGTCATGTGGGAGAGGGGGAGAAAGAAGAAAGGAGATTTTAGGAGACAGATTTGAACTTAAGAGTGTATTAATGGGCATCAAGAGGCCTCACAATGGCCCAGCTACATATCAGTATAGATTTAAAGATGCACAAACAATTGGAACTGTCAGGCCTCTGAGCCCAAGCTAAGCCATCATATCCCCTGTGACCTGCACATACACATCCAGATGGCCGGTTCCTGCCTTAACTGATGACATTATCTTGTGAAATTCCTTCTCCTCACTCATCCTGGCTCAAAAGCTCCCCTACTGAGCACCTTGTGACCCCCACTCCTGCACACCAGAGAACAACCCCTCTTTGACTGTAATTTTCATTTACCTACCCAAACCTTATAAAACGGGCCCACCCCTATCTCCCTTTGCTGACCCTCTTTTCGGACTCAGCCCGCCTGTGCCCAGGTGATTAAAAAGCTTTATTGCTCACACAAAGCCTGTTTAGTGGTCTCTTCACACGGACATACATGAAATTTGGTGCCGTGACTTGGATCGGGGGACCTCCCTTAGGAGATCAATCCCCTGTCCTCCTGCTCTTTGCTCCATGAAAAAGATCCACCTACGACCTCAGGTCCTCAGACCCACCAGCCCAAGGAACATCTCACCAATTTTAAATCAGGTAAGTGGCCTCTTCTCACTTCTCCAACGTCTCTCACTATCCCTCAACCACTTTCTCCTTTCAATCTTGGTGCCACCCTTCAATCTCTCCCTTCTCTTAATTTCAATTCCTTTCATTTTCTGGTGGAGACAAAGGAGACACGTTTTATCTGTGGACCCAAAACTCCGGCGCCGGTCATGGACTCGGGAAGGCAGCCTTCCCTTGGTGTTTAATCATTGCAGGGACGCCTCTCTGATTATTCACCCATGTTTCAGAGGTGTCTGACCATGCGAGAACACCTGCCTTGGTCCTTCACCCTTAGCGGCAAGTACTGCTTTTCTGGGAGGCAAGAACACTCCAACTCCTTCTCTCCATGTCTCTACCCCTTCTCTGCTTTTCTGGGGGGCAAGAACCCCCCAATCCCTTCTCCTTCACCCTTAGTGGCAAGTACTGCTTTTCTAGGGGGCAAGAACCCCCCAACCCCTTCTCTCCGTGTCTCTACCCCTTCTCTGCTTTTCTGGGGGCAAGAATCCCCCAATCCCTTATTTCCACACCCCGACCCCTTATCTCTGCACCCCGATCCCTTAATTCCACACCCCAACCTCTTATCTCTGTGCTCTGATCCCTTACTTCCATGCCCCAACCTCTTATCTCTGCGCCCCGATCCCTTATTTCCGTGCCCCGACCTCTTATCTCTGCACCACGATCCCTTATTTCCGTGCCCCAACCTCTTATCTCTGCACCCTGATCCCTTATTTCCACACCCCGACCTCTTATATCTGCGCTCCAACCCCTTATTTCCATGCCCCAACCCCTTTCCTGCTTTTCTGGAGGGTAAGAACCCCCAAACCCCTTCCCTCTGTGTCTCTACCCTGCTCTTTAAACTTGCCTCCTTCACTATGGGCAACCCTTCATTCCTCCTTCTCCCTTAGCCTGTGCTCTCAAGAACTTAAAACCTCTTCAACTCACACCTGACCTAAAACCTAAATGCCTTATTTTCTTCTTCAATGCTGCTTGACCCCAATACAAACTCGACAGTAGTTCCAAATAGCCAAAAAACGGCACTTTCGATTTTTCCGTCCTACAAGATCTAAATAATTCTTGTCGTAAAATAGGCAAACGGTCTGAGGTGCCTGATGTCCAGGCATTCTTTTATACATTGGTCCCTCCCTAGTCTCTGTTCCCAATGCAACTCATCCCAAATCTTCCTTCCCTCCCGCCGGTCCCCTCAGTCCCAACCCCAAGTGTTGCTGAGTCTTTCTAATCTTCCTTTTCTACAGACACATCTCACCTCTCTCCTCCTAGCCAGGCAGAGCTAGGTGCCAATTCTTCCTCAGCCTCCGATCCTCCACCCTATAATCCTTTTATCACCTCCCCTCCTCACACCTGGTCCGGCTTACAGTTTCTTTCCGCTACTAGCCCTCCCCCACCTGCCCAGCAATTTCCTCTTTAAAAGGTGGCTGGAGCTAAAGGCATAGTTAAGTTTAATGCTCCTTTTTCTTTATCCTACCTCTCCCAGATCAGTTAGTGTTTAGGCTCTTTTTCATCAAATATAAAAACGCAGCCCAGTTCATGGCCCCTTTAGCAGCAACCCTGAGATGCTTTACAGCCCTAGACCCTGAAAGGTCACAAGGCCGTCTTATTCTCAATATACATTTTATTTTATTACCCAATCTGCTCCCAACATTAAATAAAGCTCCAAAAATTAAATTCTGGCCCTCAAACCCCACAACAGGACTTAACCTCACCTTCAAGGTATGCAATAATAGAGTAGAGGCAGCCAAGTAGCAACATATTTCTGAGTTGCAATTCCTTGCCTCCACTGTGAGACAAACCCCAGCCACATCTCCAGCACACAAGGACTCCAAATGCCTGAACCGCAGCTGCCAGAGTTTCCTCCAGAACCTCCTCCCTCAGGAGCTTGCTACAAGTGCCAGAAATCTGGCCACCAGGCCAAAGAATGCCCCACAGCCTAGGATTCCTCCTAAGCTGTGTCCCATCTGTGTAGGACCCCACTGAAAATCAGACTGTTCAACTCACCTGGCAGCCACTCCCAGAGCCCCTGGAACTCTGGCCCAAGGCTCTCTGACTGACTCCTTCCCAGCTCTTCTCAGCTTAGCGGCTGAAGACTGACACTGCCCGATCGCCTCAGAAGCCCCCTAGACCATCACGGATGCTGAGCTTCAAGTAACTCTCACAGCAGAAAGTAAGTCCTTAATCAATAAGGAGGCTACCCACTCCACATTACCTTCTTTTCAAGGGCCTGTTTCCCTTGCCTCCATAAATGTGGTAGGTATTGACGGCCAGGCTTCTAAACATCTTTAAACTCCCCAACTCTAGTGCCAACTTAGACAATACTCTTTTAAGCGCTCCTTTTTAGTTATCCCCACCTGCCCAGTTCCCTTATTAGGCTGAGACACTTTAACTAAATTGTCTGCTTCCCTGACTGTTCTTGGGCTACAGCCACACCTCACTGCCACCTTTTCCCCCAGTTCAAAGCCTCCTTCACATCCTCCCCTTGTATCTCCCCACCTAAACCCACAAGTATAAGACACCTCTACTCCCTCCTTAGCGACCGATCATGTACCCCTTTCCACCCCATTAAAACCTAATCACTCTTACCCTGCTCAATGCCAACATCCCATCCCACAGCACGCTTTGAGAAGATTAAAGCCTGTTATCTCTCACCTGCTACAGCATGGCCTTTTAAAGCCTATAAACTCCCCTTACAATTCCCCCATTTCACCTGTCCTAAAACCAGACAAGGCTTACAGGTTAGTTCAAGATCTGTGCCTTATCAACCAAATTGTTTTGCCTATCCACCCCATGGTGCCAAACCCATATACTCTCCTATCCTCAATACCTCCCTCCACAATCCATTATTCTGTTCTAGATCTCAAACATGCTTCCTTTACTATTCCTTTGCACCCTTCATCCCAGCCTCTCTTTGCTTTCACTTGGACTGACCCTGACACCCATCAGGCTCAGCAAATTACCTGGGCTGTACTGCTGCAAGTCTTCAAAGACAGCCCCCATTACTTCAGTCAAGCCCAAATTTCTTCCTCATCTGTTACCTATCTCAGCATAATTCTAATAAAAACACATGTGCTCTCCATGCTGATCGTGTCCAGCTAATCTCCCAAACCCCAATCCCTTCTACAAAACAACAACTCCTTTCCTTCCTAGGCATGGTTAGTGTGGTCAGAATTCTTACACAAGAGCCAGGACCCCACCCTTTAGCCTTTCTGTCCAAACAACTTGACCTTACTGTTTTAGCCTAGTCCTCATGTTTGCGTGCAGCAGCTGCCGCTGCTTTAATACTTTTAGAGGCCCTAAAAATCACAAACTATGCTCAACTCACTCGCTACAGTTCTCATAACTGCCAAAATCTATTTTCTTCCTCCCACCTGACACATATACTTTCTGCTCCCCAGCTCCTTCAGCTGTATTCACTCTTCGTTGAGTCGCCCACAATTACAATTGTTCCTGGCCCGGACTTCAATCCGGCCTCCCACATTATTCCTGATACCACACCTGACCCCCATGACTGTATCCCTCTGATCCACCTGACATTCATCCAATGTCCCCGTATTTCCTTCTTTCCTGTTCCTCACCCTGATTATGGCTTGATTTATTGATAGCAGTTCCACCAGGCCTAATCGCCACACACCAGCAAAGGCAGGCTATGCTATAGTACAAGCCACTAGCCTGCCTCTTAGAACCTCTCATTTCCTTTCCATTGTAGAAATCTATCCTCAAAGAAATAACTTCTCAGTGTTCCATCTGCTATTCTACTACTCCTCAAGGATTATTCAGGCCCCCTCCCTTCCCTACACATCAAGCTAAGGGATTTGCCCCCACCCAGGACTGGCAAATTAGCTTTACTCAACATGCCCCAAGTCAGAAAACTAAAATACCTCTTAGTCTAGGTAGACACTTTTACTGGATAAGTAGAGGCCTTTCCTACAGGGTCTGAGAAGGCCACCACTGTCATTTCTTCCCTTCTCTCAGACATAATTCCTCAGTTTGGCCTTCCCACCTCTATACGGTCTGATAACAGACCAGCCTTTACTAGTCGAATCACCCAAGCAGTTTCTCAGGCTCTTAGTATTCAGTGGAACCTTCATATCCCTTACCATCCTCAATCTTCAGGAAAGGCAGAACGGACTAATGATCTTTTAAAAACACATCTCACCAAGCTCAGCCACCAACTTAAAAAGGACTGGACAATACTTTTATCACTTTCCCTTCTCAGAATTCAGGCCTGTCCTTGGAATGCTACAGGGTACAGCCCATTTAAGCTCCTGTATGGACACTCCTTTTTATTAGGCCCCAGTCTCATTCCAGACACCAGACCAACTTAGACTGTGCCCCAAGAAACTTGTCATCCCTACTATCTTCTGTCTAGTCATACTCCTATTCACCGTTCTCAACTACTCATAAATGCCCTGCTCTTGTTTACACTGCCGGTTTACACTGTTTCTCTAAGCCATCACAGCTGATATCTCCTGGTGCTACCCCCAAACTGCCACTCTTAACTCTTGAAGTAAATAAATAATCTTTGCTGGCAGAACTATGCTGAATCTCCTTAGGCACTCTCTAATTAGATGTCCTAGGTCCTCCCAATTCTTAGACCTTTAATACCTGTTTTTCTCCTTCTCTTATTCCGTTTACTTTTTCAATTCATACAAAACTGTATCCAGGCCATCACCAATAATTCTAAATGACAAATATTTCTTCTAACAGTCCCACAATATCACCCCTTACCACAAAATCTTCCTTCAGTTTAATCTCTCCCACTCTAGGTTCCCACGCTGCCCCTAATGCCGCTCGAAGCAGCCCTGAGAAACATCGCCCATTATCTCTCCATACCATCCCCCAAAATTTTCGCTGTCCCAAATCTTTACCACTATTTTGTTTTATTTTTCTTATTAATATAAGAAGACAGGAACTACAAAGCTATCAACTGAATTTCTAAAAACCAAGAAAATATTGTGTCTGTTTCAGATAAAAAAATACTTACTTATTAACCAGTCTTTAAAAATGTATGCATCCCTGATTCTAAACCTTAAATTAAACACTAGAGAAGTTTTCCTTGTAATTTATTGGAGGGATAGTGAGAGATATATTGAGGACTGTGCGTAGAGACTGAATTATAATTTTTCAAATAGAAAAATAGTAAGAGGTGACAAAAAGGAAGGAAATACTATTAAGCAAGAGAGAAACATTTAGTAAGCAGCAAATATGCTCTAATTCCATAATTCCTGGCAAAAACAAGATCACACAAGTCTCACGAGACATTTTTGTCCTTAGAATTTACCTCACATTTTGATATTAAGTTTAACTCTTGATGTGTCTAATTACAAACCTTCAAATATGAATCTGAAAAATGATTCTGTTACTCTCTATAAAAATCTTACCAGTGTCACTATGGCTCCTTTATCTACTATATGCCATACATTAGACACACACACACACACACACACACACACACACACATACACTCTTTTATTTAGATAACCCATTCTACTTTAAATAATACATTTAGTTAAATTATAAATTACTGCATTACACTATTGATTTGTTAAAATCACCCTGCATGTTGTGGTCCTCCTGAATTTCATATACCACTGGGGATATAAATGGGTTTTCTTATTTTGAGAATTATTCAATAATTTCACTTATTAAAATGTTTTATTTAGAACTCATTCAACCAGATGAGTTATGTCCATTGTTTACCAAGGTATCAGCTGCCTTACATGAAATTTATTCTTGATTTCTTTTGCTGTATTATTTTACAATAGATTCTTATTTCTAAATTATAAAATCAAATGTGTTATGCATTGAAATCACTATTTTTATTACAAAAACCAGATATTACCTGTATGTAAAAATTTGCAAATGTGACGCACCAAGAAAATAAAATTACTTATATTAATGCCCAGAACTTTGCTCATTTCTTCAGCATGCAAATATTTATTGGGTGCCTCATATTATCTAGGAACAATTTTAGACACCGAGACTTTTACTGAGCAAAATTCACACAATTTCATCTCCATACAGATATTAAAAATGAGGTTGATGTAATTATTTGAACATTTTATTCCCATATTTAAAAGACTGGTCGTGTACTCCCGGTATGTATGTATTGTATATTTATATGTATTGTTATGGGAAATTTATAATATATTTGCAACATTATAGAACACAACTGTTTTTCTTCTTCTTCTTTCTTTTACATACTTCCAAAACTTTCTTAAGATCTGGGTCTCAGCAGACAACTTAGAATGCAACAATGACTATTTAATTTTCCCAGAAAATGGAAAGTGTATTGCTTCCAGAGTTCCTGTGGACCATAGCCAGTTTTATCTTAGGCTTCAAGTCTGCACAGAAGTATTTTCCATCTTAATAAGGAACATTAAAGACAAATGAAGAAAATTAAAAGAAAACTCAAAAATTAAGGTCTATGAGAAAACACATAGCATATGAAAACCACTTGCTCCATTGTTTTTAATTTTATAAACTAAAAGAAGTAGAAAATATTATTTCCAAGGAAATGTGATACAAGTGAGGAAATTTATAAACTGCAGATGAGAAAACTGGGATGCAGATTTCTATTAATGTTATAATTCAGGTATTGGCAAACTTCTGAGAAAGACCAAATTGTACACATTTTAGGCTTTGTGGAGCTTAAGGTCTCTGTCGCAACTATTCAACTCTGCCATTGTAGCTCACAAGAAGTCATAACCAATATGTAACCAAATGGGTATGACTATGTTCCAATAGTGCCATATTTACAAAATCAGGAAATGACCTGGATTTGACTAGGGGCCATAGATTGCTGACCTCTAAAATCTGAAGATTCTTTTAACAGTATCTTTAGAGAGGTGAAGTGAAAATATATATTTATAAAGTCACTGATAATTGGATATTGGCGTCAGACTTTCCCCATCTTTAAAACTGTTATGTTTGTTTAATTTTTTCCCCAAATATATGAAGTGTTTTAAAATCAACTTTGGAATCCACTGAGATAATAAGACATTATGACGTCCAGAGAGCTTTCTCCATCCTTTACCAGCATTTATTTTTTGTAACCAAGATACGGGTTCTCAAATAATGGCTCCTGGGTGCTTTGAAAAAGTAGTGCGATGGTTTGAATGTGTCCTCCAAAAAGCATTTGTTGAAAACGTAATCCCCTGGCAGGGCACGGTGGCTCACGCCTGTTATCCCAGCACTTTGGGAGGCCGAAGCAAGTGGATCATCTGAGGTCAGGAGTTCAAGACCAGCCTGATCAACATGGTGAAGCCCCGTCTCTACTAAAAATACAAAAATTAGCTAGGCATGGTGGCGGTCACTTGTAGTCCCAGCTACCTGGGAGGCTGAGGCAGGAGAATCGCTTGTACCCGGGAGGCGTAGGTTGCAGTCATCGCGTCACTGCATTCCAGCCTGGGGGACAGAGTGAGACTCCGTCTCCAATAAATAAATAAATAAATAAATAAATAAATACATAAATAAATAATAAGAAAATGTAATCCCCAATGTAACAGTGTTGGGGGGAGGGGCCTAACAAAAAATGATTAGGCCATGAGAACTCCGTGGATTAATGCAGCTATCTCCAGAGTAGATTCACGCTCTCTCTCTCTCCCTACCCTCTTCAGCCTTCTGTTCAGCCATGGAATGATGCAGCAAGAAGATCCTCATCAGATGCCATGAAATGAGCTAAGACAGATCAGCTCCCCTTTAACATACTGTAGGAAACACTGCATCCCAGAGTGAGGAACAGGCACGCATCTACACTGACCTATATCATTAGGGGCTCTGCAGTAATATCCCCAGTGTGGCTCGTGTACGTTTCCCACTCTGCTGATTAATGAACACAGCATTTCAGCAGATGCCTGCTCTGACTTTCAGCACTTAGAGACAGGCAGATAGGTGACAGAGAAAGAAAAACAAAAGCCATACTACCATGACAGCTTCTAATCTCGGATCTTGAATGTATCTGGTCTCATGGAAGTAAATCTGACAACCTTTCTATTTTTAAAATTTATGATGACGATGATGATGATTTTTCTTCTTTCACCCTGGCTCTGTCTGTCTTAGGAGTTGTGATGCTCTTATGATAGGTGAAAAATAGGTTAACATTGAACTTAAGACCTGATGCAGTTAGCTTTCATTCTTACAACCAGCCATCCAAATGATAGAGGAAAAGATCTTAGCACCTCTGCAGCTGCTCATCAACACTGATTTTCTCAAATGATAAATAAACTGCCCTCTATTTGCTGGTGTGAACACGTAGATGAATATTGACTTAGACAGGTGCTGAGCTCCTTTAATTTCATAAATTGCATTGTGTTCCTTCTCCACTGCAAGCAGAATCCTTATCGCTTCTTATGCAGCTAATCGTTTATTGCTTATTAAACTGCTAATAAAATCCAGAAACTATATTGCTTTACTGATTAATACAGCTCATGAAGAAATGTGTGTAATTCTAGGCTTTCAAAGTCACTCATTCTGAATTGAAGGTTATATATCAAAGGCAGTGAAAATAACATAGTACTTTCATTTCTCATTTAATCTCAGAAAGTTATGTTTTCCATTTATTTCATTTAACATGATTTTGTAGTGAATATTTATCCAAATGCAACATCAGTGACAGAGAAGCATATGAAATAATGACACTATGTAAGTAAAGGAAGTCACATCTGCTTGTCAAGTTAGGTTTTTGGCAATAAACATAAATTTGTCAAGGTACTCTATCGCACTTTGCATCATTATGGTTTGGAAGAAAAATCAATAATGCATTTGTAAGGGTTGTATTCACTGAAATTAAACAAAGCAACAGTCTCTGGTGAGGCTGCACTTTAGGTGAACTCACAATGGAAAGTTATGGGAAAATTTAATGACAAAACCTATAGCTTTATAGATTGAGAAGCTAATCAAATAGTAACAGAAACCTTGAAAGTAAATAGATATCATACCTACATTATATTGAGTATACCATACAAAATAAATATTTATCTGTTATAGCCATAATGTATTAGAAAATACTAAAAAATAATTAGCTCTCAAGTAGCTATTGCAAATTTCCTTGTAGGCATTTGAATTAGATTATATAAAAATTAGTATCATCTGAAATGTTTTTGGATCAAAGTTCCACAAATGTCCACTTTTGTGTGTTAAACAGTCTTTGTGAAGTATGTATTTGGAAAGAGATATTGCTTTATTTTAAGTCAAATTAAATGAGAAAAAAGAAAAGGAAAGAATAAATAAAAGAAAGACCTGAGTGTGAAAGGAAAAAAAAAACTTTGTTTTTAAAATTGTTTGTTTTGTTATTAGCAGGGATATCCCTGAAGGAAAGTGTATCTTTTCTAAGAATTTACAATAGGATATCTACCCCAATCTGTTCAGGAACGTGTGCATTAGAAATACTGGCTGATGTTGCTATATCTTTCTTCAAGTGGAACACAGTGATTTACAACCCTACCAAAAGTCTCGGAGAGCCCATAGTCCTTTATCCTCCAGAATCCTCTTTACTTCAGACTTTTTGATCCTTACCAGCCTAATAATAGTTGGTATTTGATTTTAATTTTTAATTGTATGCTATTATTTTTATCTCTTTTTCAGTGAGAGATGTATACATTTGCTAGGGCTGCCATAAAAATTTTACAAAGCCACCCATAAACTGGGCGGCTTCAACAGCAGAAATTTATTGTCTCACATTCTGGTGAAATTAAGGTGTTGCTAGGGCTGATTTCTTCTGAGGGCTATGAGAAAGAATCAGGTGCATGACTCTCCTTGCTTTTAGTGGCTTCATGCTTTCCTTGGCTCATACACGATATGCTCCCTGTGACTTCACATCATCTTTCCCTGCGCGTATGTCTGTCTCTGTTTCCAAATTTCTGCTTTTCTTTTCTTTTTTTTTGAGATTGAGTCTCACTCTGTTGCCAGGCTGGAATGCAGTGGTACGATCTCAGCTCACTACAACCTCCAATTCCCTGGTTCAAGTGATTCTCCTGCCTCAGCCTCCCGAGTAACTGGGATTACAGGCATGCACCAGCACACCCAGCTAATTTTTTTTATATTTTCAGTAGAGATAGGGTTTCACCATGTTGGCCAGGATGGTCTTGATCTCCTGACCTCGTGATCCGCCCACCTCGGCCCCCCAAAGTCCTGGGATTACAGGCATGAGCCACCAAGCCCAGCCTCATTTTTCAAATAAGAACGCCAGGCTGGGCCTGGTGGCTCAAGCCTGTAATCCCAGCACTTTGGGAGGCCAAGGAGGGAGGATCTCCTGAGGTCAGGGGTTCGAGACCAGCCTGGCCTACATGGTGAAACCCTGTCTCTACTAAAAATACAAAACTTAGCCAGGTGTGGTGTTCTGCACCTGTAGTTTCAGCTACTCGGGAGGCTGAGGAAGGATAATCGCTTGAACCCAGGAGGCAGAGGTTGCAGTGGGCTGAGATTGTGCCACTGCACTCCAGCCTGGGTGACAGAGCAATATTCTGTTAAAAAATAAAATAAAATAAAATAAAATAAAGTAAAATAAAATAAAATAAAATAAAAACATCATTTGTGTTAGATTAGGCCCTATCTTAATAACCTCAGTTTGACTTGATTGCCTCTACAAAGACCCTATTTTTAAAAATAAAGGTCACATTCTGAAGTATAAAGAGACTCAGCATGTCTTATTTTGGGGAGGTACACAATTAAATGTATCACAGGATAATATAACTTTTCCTTAAATGTTAAGGGCTTTATAGCTAGTATATAGTTGTCAGATGTATTGTGAATATTATTTCCAGGTTGGTATATGTCCTATGATTGGTTTGTGGAATACTATTGCCATAGAAGTTTCCATTTTTCATGGTCTGATTTGTTGTTCTTTCCATGAAGATTTCTCTGTGTTAAAGAAGGAAACCATAGACACTGGGTTCTACTTGAGGGTGGAGGGTGGGAGGAGGGAGAGGAGCAGGAAAGGTAACTATTGGGTACTGGGTTTAATTCCTGGATGATGAAATAATGTATACAACAACCCGGTGACATGAGTTTACCTATGTAACAAACCTTCATATGTATCCCCAAACATAAAAGTTAAAAAAACAAGATTTCTCTGTGTTTTGTCTATTTTCTAATGTTTTTCTCTAGTACTGTCATTTCATTTTTATGCAAATTTTCAATCATTTTGGAATGTATCTTGACATACAGGATAAGGTAGATATTCAGCTGTATTTTACCTAGTAGATGTGCTAATTGTCCTAATATCTTGTATTGACTAATTCATGTAATAATGTTATATAATATAACAAGGGAAAATATTTATTGAATTTGACTATGTTCTAAACTACAGACACTCTTCTAAAAACTTTATGTTATCAGTCATTTAATACTTTAAAAACCCCTCCATTGTTTTTATCATGTGCATTTCACTGATGAAGAAACTGAGACAGAAAAGAATTCTACCTGCCTATCCCATGGCTCCAAGCCTGTGCATTCACCCTAGCTGGGAAAACGTCCAAGAACTCCTCATGCTTCAGAAAAGAATATCCCTCCAACAGTATGCACTAAAAATTACTCTGTATCCATCAAGTAATAACTTGTGAGGATGCTTATGTTTCTCTTTGCTATGCCATCCAACAGTTTTACTAAATGGCATCAATTTTACCTAGTGTAAGATGTATTAATATTGAGTTATATGCATCTTAATAGAAATATAACTTTGAAGAGGAGTAAAAATCTAATAGATGAGCCTTCCAGCATCACTCAGATGATAGGAGGAACAACAAAGGAAGGTGTTTTTGTTCATTTCCCTTGGACTTGTCCTTAGCTTCTTTCCTTTTTCCCAGCTACCCATTCTACTGGGGTCCTAGACTGTGGCAATTCAACTCCAAGTGCCCAAAGGATGTCAAAATTAGCCTTGGGACAATGCCACAATGCCACATTTCTACTTTTTTTTTTTTTTTTAAGATGGATTTTTGCTCTTGTTGCCCAGGCTAGAGTGCAATGTCACGATCTCGGCTCACTGCAATCTCTGCCTCCGAAGTTCAAGCAATTCTCCTGCCTCAGCCTCTGGAGAGCTGGGATTATAGGCGCCCACCACCATGCCTGGCTAATTTTTTTATTTTTAGTAGAGATAGAGTTTTACTATGTTGGCCAGGCTGGTCTTGAACTCCTGACCTCAGGTGATCCGTCCGTCTTGGCCTCCCAAAGTGTGGGATTACAGGCGTGAGCCACCGTGCTGGGCCTTCTGCTCTTCATATATATATGTATATGTGTATATACGTATATACATACGTATGTATATATACACATATAATAATTATATGTGTATATATACATATAATAATCAGTAAATTGTTAGGCATTAGGCTATCTTCTATGTCAAAAGTCTCATTCCCATGTGATAAAATGTGAAGATTAATTACTTTGGTAAAAATGAAGAATAATTATACTGAAAAATCTTTTATATCAACGATACTTTACCAAAAGTTCATAATAAGAAGAAATAAAAAGGTAAACAAAGGGGGCAGGGGATAATATACATCTTACTGGCCTGTATTAGACAACGTGAATACACTATAATCTACTTTTCCTATGGGTCCATGAGGAGATACACACGAAGATTTTTATCATTATATTTTTTGTTGTAACAAATAGAAGAGTCACATATCTGTGCATCACTAAAGCAGCAGGGATATAAAATGTGTTACAGGCATAAGATGAGATACTATAAAGCAATCAGAAGTAATGAACTAAATTTACATGCAGCAACATGGATAGAGCTCAAAACTATAATGTTCAGTAATAGCATGGAACTGAGCAATATTTTTAACAAATATAATTTTTGCAATTAAGAATAATGCATGATATTGTTTGGCTGTGTTCCCACCCAAATCTCAATTTGAATTGTAATAATCCCCATGTGTCAAGAGCAGGGCCAGGAGGAGATAACTGAATCATAGGGGCAATTTCCCCCATACTGTTCTCCTAGTAGTGAATAAGTCTCATGAGATCTGATGGTTTTATAAAGGGCAGTTCCCCTGCACAAGCCTTCTTGCGGGCTGCCATGTAAGATGTCCCTTTGCTCTTCCTTCGTCTTCTGCCACGACTGTGAGGACTCCCCAGCTATGTGGAACTGTGAGTCCATTAAATCTCTTTCCTTTATAAATTACCCAGTGTTGGGTATGTCTTTATCAGCAGCATGAAAACAGATTAATACAATGCATAATCAAAAAGATAATATTTTTATGATACTCATAAGGAAAAGTATGAAGAGTATAGTAGAAGGATTGGTATACTCTGGAATGATTGTTTTTAGACACGTGAAGGCGTGGGGAAGAGGGATGAAGATAAAATACCATAAGGAATCAGAATTGTGGCATCTTGCCATGAGGCTAGTGAGCCATGACCTGAGGTATATGATCAACTCAATTTTGTACAGCTGGGCTCTGACAGAGAGAAAAAAGTAGATAGGAACTCATCATATGGGCAACTTAAGCCTGAAGTTTAACACTTAGACATAGAGTGATTTTATTGCTGTGGAAATTCCATCCTGAGTGATAACACAGATGACAAATAATGACAGGTTGTAGATGCCTTCTCAGTAATAATATGTCTTATGTCACATTAGGCTCATAATGAATTTGGAAGGGATTTGGAGCACTGATCCAGGTTTTTTCAGCAACCCCCATTAGAAAATGAAAGCTGTATGTATTGCATTACTTTAAAAAATATAAAAATATTACAGATTTGATACAACTATTTTTATACTTTACAATGCATATTTTGAAAAAGAAAAGTTTATAAATTTTTACCAAGCGATTACCAGAATATTTTGAGACAAATACTGGATAAGAAGAAACATCATTAAAGGGTGTGAAAAAATACTACCTACTTTATAAGGGGCTGATCATCATAATTCATTTTACTCTTTATGATATTTGGAATTTGGGGGAGACAATTTTCCATGCATCTCTTGTGTTTCTGTATAGCCTGCAAATGCGGTACTAACTGGCCTTTAGTTCTGAACCATGTTTTCAAGGATGGAAGACAGAAATGAATTCTTTCACTGGAGCGAAGGGTAGGTCTAGTTACAGCTTTGGGAGATAGAGATAACATCCCCCTCCAGAGCAAAAGTCAAGCATGCCTACTGCCCATTATAAATGATTCAGAATTTCCAAGTTCAGGAGTCCTCTGCTGTAATGCAACTACTGCATGTGCAGGTATCACTTGGTCTTTTTCACATCACCTTATGGGATTTCAGGTTCAGGGAACAAGCACAAAACATGCTGATAATACTGTTTACTGCTGTCACTATGAGTAATGAAGTACATTGCCTCTGACCTGTCAGTTTCATGCCTTCTACCAGCATCCATGAACCCAGCATGCTAAGCTGTTAGCTCACAAGCAGGCTGACATCTTAAGCACTTTACAGTCCTTAACAGTAATCAAGAGGAAAACAATTGGAAACACTCTGAATTTTGATTTTTGTTTGTATCTGTACCTATACCACAAAAAGTATATTTTATTTATTGAAGACTGTTGAAGAAAGTACTCAGATTATCAAAGGTATTGTAGAGGAGGCAAAACTCAAGTTCTGTCCTCATAGAGTCCCAGCTTAGTGAAAAATTCAATTGACATAAGACAGATTAGCAGGAAAAAAGGGCACATATTTACATAACATAAGTTTTACCTGGCACAGAAAGAAGCCCTCATAAGGACAGGAAAACCGAAAGAAGTAGTTGGAGTCACTTACATAGTGAACTGGGCAAATAATAGTACATTTTGAAATTAGACAAGGTAAAAGGGCCTGGACTAGGGTAGTTAATTTGGCAGAAAAGGGACTGGGAAGATAAAGTTTAGTTTAACAAGATTTGTTTGTGCATATTTCCCTAGGCTTCAATCTCCTGTCCTTCATAATAAAATGCTAGTTTCTTTTTGGTATAGGGAGGACATCTTTCCTATGAGAGTTTTATCTCCTGTTTTTAAGCAACAGAATAAACACCAGCATAAACATCTTGCACCTGCTGTGTTTTGTTTAAGTGCCTTTAATTCAAAATAGCCAATATGCCAGAGCACCCTATTTAGGGGTCCTTCTTCAGGGTGAACCTCTTCTTCATCTGACAGGTTCTTCCTGCTGGTGAACACACAAAGACAATGGCATGACAGAAAAGGAAAAGTTTAATAGACATGAGGCCAGGTACGCTACATGGGAGACAGGGGTAGTACTCAAATCAATCTCCCCAAAGGCTTGGATGTTAGAAGTTTTTCAAAGGTAATTTGGGGGAAGGGGTGGGGGTGGCTAGGCAATAGGCACTCACTTCTGATTGGAAGACAGTGCAATCATAGGGTTGTGGGAAATGGTCCTCCTGTGCTCTTCCTTGCTTCTAGGTGGGGCTACAGGAGTGTTTGGTGGGTCCAGATGGAGTAATCAGTGTCATACATGCAAAATACCTGAAAAGATATCTCAAAAGGCCAATCATAGGTGCTACAATAGTGATGTTATCTGCAGAAGCAATTGGGGAAGTTGCAAATCTTGTGACCTTGGGAATAATGTTTGGTAATCATTTATGTCTACACCTTAGCAGATTTCAGGCTCCTCTATCCTCCTAGCCTGGTGGTCTCTCATTAATGTTACAAAGGCGGTTCAGTTTTGGGGAAAGGCTATCATCATTTAAACTATAAACTAAATGTCTCCCAAAGTTAGCTTGGCTTAAGCCCAAAATAATTAAAGACAACTTGAAGGCTAAGGGCAAGAGAGAGGTTGGTCATATCAGATCTCCCTCACTGCCATAATTTTCTCACTGTATAGTTTTCACAAAGGCAGTTTCAGTGGCATATTCTTAACTCCTTGAGTGCGCAACCATGGATTCTACAAAGAGAGTTGAAATAGTTACTCAACTATATTCCATGATCTGAGTACTTCAAAATGTTCCCCAAATCATTACTTTCCTTTTATTTTCTTGGGTGGGTGGGTGGTGGTATTTATTCATTGCCCTTTCCTGTGATCTCCTTTCAAGAAATACCACTATGGAGGTAACACTCTTGTTACAACCAAATACATATTTATTTGTCAACTGATTCTCTTAGATGACACTAACAAAATGGGCTAAAGAGAGATATACCTTTAAAAGTTGCTCTTTATTGTACAATAAATTAAACATAAAAATTTAGGTAAGAAGAGCATGGATTATATGTAGCTGCTTTCCCGTTTTCCCTGAGACCAACCCTTTAGGCTCTGATCATAAATCTAGGAACGTTCTCTGTTCTCTATACTTTGTTGAATAATTCAATTTGCGTTTCACTATGCATTTGGTGCTCTTGGTTACAAGTGAATTTTTTCATTTACATAATCATATTCTGCCCACTTGAATATTCCCTGCACAGTTGCACTTTTATATAATATACTTGTTCACCATCTGTCCTCAATTTTGGTCAAGAGATGCTTCATATTTTCCAACACTTTGCATGGTAATTGTGCTACCCCAAAAGTCATTTTTGTTAATACACATCTTGCTTATGTGGAAGAGACACTTTCCGTTCTCACTGGCCAAAAGATGGCCTACCTTTGGAAGCTTTACATCTACCTATCATAAACAAAGAGAAAGTTCTTACAAAGCCATCAAATATATTTGAAATTTGAAATGCATGTATACATACACGGGTACTATAATTTTTATGAAGGAATTGCTTGAAATTAATGACTTTTCGTGTCTATATTACATGTATTTCTGTTCTAGAATTCATAGTAAAGTTAAAATAAGACATAAAAATAATGTAATATTACTCATATTATTTGAAAATCTTCTTCAAGTAATTCCCTATAACATTATACAATAAAATATGAATGTATTTAGAAATTATTTAGAGGCCATTCAAGATTATCAGGTAAATTAAACTGCTCTGCTATTTGTTTTTCTGCTAAAATGAAAGGATGAATAAAAGTATATAGCAAATCAAAATATTTTGTAATTGAAAAAAAACACTTCAACTTAACTGAATACATTTCCTGACTTTTTCTAAAAAGCACTCTGATGTGAGAACTCTTGATAAGCCTGGGATGCTTTTTCCCTAGGACAAGGGGAAAAAGTTTTCTATTTCAAACTCTCTAATTTTCTATTTCAAAGAGAAGAAAAACATATTTTTCTTGTTTTTTCTTTTTGATGCATTCATATGTGTATACATACGCACACACATTTCTCTTCATTAAATTCAGCAGTTTTGGCCACACTTGCCACATACAACAAGCCCACTTTTGATTATGTTTTTTAGTCAGATGAGTACATGAGCTACTAATCCAAACACACGCTAATTTAAACTAAAAGGTCAGTAGAGTTATTTGAACTTCCTCTTCCTCTTGCTATAAGTATTTTGTAATATAGATTAATTTCATAGTCTGTCATGGTCGTTTTTTTTCCCCTCAACTCTTAATTGCATTTAAAAACTCTAACACTAAGATAATATCGATCTCCAAGCTCAGCAAAGCTGAATCAATATATTTATCAAAATAATTAGCCAAGTTTGCTAGCAATCTTGTCAGGGAGGCATAACAGTGTAATGGTCAGAGAAACGTTTTGAAGTAAAAATCCCTGCACATGATTACCCACTCTGTAACCTCCTGGCTATATGACTTTATGCTAGTCTTTTTCTATTTTGCAGCTAAATGTCTCTAAGCACAGATATACATTAAAGGGGCAGTTTAACAGAACGTTCATCTTATAATGTGAGAGAATATAAGCAAAGAGATGAGTACACCCCATGACACATAGTGAGCTTTCAATCAAGCATGGTCGTAGTTATTTTAACATTAAGATGAAATCATCATCTGAGGACTAAACTCCGATATTTTTGTCTTGTCCAGGTTCCTATCAAAGGGGCCTGGGGAGTCATGCCCTACAAATCATAAATTCTCATCAGATGGGTGTTATTTAACCCTATATATCTGACTTACTTTACAATCTTACTCTGGCATAACATTACGAGACAAGGAAGAAAATGAAAATATTTTACCCCAAAACATGTTTCTTTGCCATATCTTGAAATCGCCCTTCAAAGTTGTCCTTTGTGGGGGAAAAATTTACATCTGTAAAGAATCTCTATTAACATAGCTAGATTTTTTTAATTCTAGGCTCTCCCAGTCCTAAAGAGATTAACTAAAAGTCTAGCACCTTTTCAACACTTGTCACCTATTGTCTCTAAGGGCAGCCATCAGAAGAATCTTGGTCTCCATGATCTTTCATCTTAACCTGAACATTTCCCTTTTATGATCCCAGGTCTTTAGATAAACTCACCAGTTATCAATCAGAAAATGTTTAAATTTACCTATAGCCTGGAAGTCCCTGCTTGAGTTGTCCCACCTTTCTGGACCAAACCAATGTATTTCTTAAATATATTTGATTGACGTCTCATGCCTCCCTAAAATGTATAAAACCAAGCTGCGCCCCAACCACCTTGGGCACATAGTCTCAGGACTTCCTGAGGGCTGTGTCACAGGCCATGGTTACTCATATTTGGCTCAGACTAAATCTCAAATGTTTTACAGAGTTTGACTCTTTTCTTTGACCAAAAATACAGTTATTCTAATAAATATCAAAATAGAATAATTTCTTATTCTCTCTGCTTTTCCTCTTTGCTTTATTATAATCTCCCTTGCAATTATATAGGGGTCATTCCTATTTTAATAATATTTCACTATTCTCTGCTTTCCTCTGAGCTTTCTGCTTACTCTGACTTCAGCCAATCAGAAGCAGTGGAGGGCCTCTGGAGAGCCGGAGGGAAAAACCTGGATATTTCTTCTTTTCCAATATGACATCAGGTGGCATCTCTAGCAGCTGGCTTGGAGTTTCCACAGAAGAGGTCTGCTTGGTTCCAGCTCTCACTGGGTGACCCAGCCCCAGTGTTTTAGAAATACTGCATCCCCACAGGAAACAGCAGTAGGAGCTTTTTGTTACGCTGCCTTACTATACCTAGTTGGGGTCTCAGCTATTCTACTTCCTATTATCAGTTCCCCGCATTGAATTCTGTCTGTTTCAAATGCTCTAGAATAGATTTTGTTTTCTTGGTTGGAGTGTGATTGGTACTGTGTGCCATTGAAACCTTCTTTTATATGCTATTCCTACATGATATAAAAATATATCATTTTTTGTATGATCATTTTCTAATGATATAAAACTTCTTCTTTAGTCTTTACTCTGGGCATATTCTATCTTGCCCTTGATGATTCCTTTAGAGTTCTGGACAATTGGTTACACCTATAAATGTATCTAACTATAGAAAATAGTCACAAAGAATTAGATTCCTAAAGAAAATGAGTATAAAGGGGATCTCTTACATTATTAAACAGTCTCCTTATTCTCAATTGTTTATTGAGAATAAAACAATATTTTGTAACAACTGTTATCATGTAAACTGCTGCACATGTGTTATTTGTTGTTTTTAAAAATAAAAGAATAAAGACTTCTTTTCTTCTTATATTGTTGCTTAATTTTTGGGGAAGAGTAGTGTTGTGGTTTCCATATATGGAATCAGTGTGTACATAAGGATTCTATTTGAAGCCACGTTATGTCAGATAGTTTCTTCCTTCACATTGATGTGCACAAAAGAAAATCCAGGATATTAGTACATTACATACCATTTCTTTCTGAGAGGGAGAAATCAAGTAAGAGTGTCCAATCGCTTCACTTTGAAGAATAAGAAATAAAATAGATTCCCAGACAAAACAACACAGAGGATTTGAAAACAAAGAGGTGAAGATTTTGAAGCATTACTTGTTCATTGCAGCAACTGCAAATCTCAGGAGAACAATCTTGAGGCCAACAATCCAGGAACAAAGAGGTTTAAAGTTTACATCTTGGTTTCAGTCAATAAATCCCAGGGTAATCTACATTCTCTTTTAACCACCCAGATAAACACTCTTTTATTTACATAGATGCTATTTGATAGTATTCAAACACTATCAAATCTTAATGCTCTTGATAGTATTGACAACATGACTTTCAGTTATCTCCCAGGACTGCCTTTTATATACAGACTGTGGAGCGCTATGCATTTTAACCAAAAGACTACGTTGTCTATTTCCATAATAGCTATGTTTATGGAATACATCTTAGTTCCTTGGTTTAACTTCATTTTAGAAATTATAATTTATTCTTAATGTTTTCAGAACATTCACGTAGTTACAAACACATATTTTATACTCAGCTTCAAAAATGGATATGATAATAAGATCAGAACCTGCATTGTAAGATTAGCAGCTAAAAAGACATTACAATATATTGCCATCAACTGCTTCACAGCACCAAGTTTTTTACTGGTTGTACTTCTGTTTGAATCTACCATTCATAAAATATACATTGGCTATAGTATTATGTGATGCATGTTGCGTTTCATTATTTGACAAATTGGAAATGCAATAAGTTTGATATCAGGGCTGATACCATTTCCTTTGTAGCAATATTTTAGCTTTGGGTTGTGACAAGGATAGGCACAATTTTGGTCCTCGCGACTTTTTTTTTTTTTTTTTTTTTGAGACAGACTCTCGCCCTGTCACCAGGCTGGAATGCAGCGGTACAATCTCGGCTCACTGAAACCTCTGCCTCCCGGGTTCAAGCGATTCTTCTGCCTCAACCTCCCAAGCAGCTGGGACTACAGGCACATGCCACCACACCCAAGTAATTTTTGTATTTTTAGTGGAGTCGGGGTTTCACCATGTTGGCCAGGATGGTCTCGATCTCTTGACCTTGTGATCCGCCTGGCTTGGCCTAGGAAAGTGCTGGGATTACAGGCATGAGCCACTGTGCCCGGCTGGTCCTCGTGACTTTTATCTCCTCATGTCATATTCATGAACATGTTACATTATATAGCATAAGTGATTTTGCAGATGTAATTAAAGTTACTAACTAGTTAACTTTAAAAAAGGGAGAGCACCTTAGTTTATATGGGTGGGACCAACCTAATCACATGAGCCCTTAAGAAAGCAGAGCTTCCTTTTCCTTTATGGCAGAAAAGGTAGTGAGAGATTTGGCAACGGGAAAAGTTAGAGAGGTTCAAAACATAAAGACACTACAGGCCATTGTTGGCTTGCAGATGAAAGGGGGCCATGTGTCAAGGAAATGGAAACATCAGTCCCACAGTTGAATTTACCTGAATTCTTCCAACAACCAATGCATTTAAGAAAAGAATCTGGCCGAGACGGGCGGGTCACGAGGTCAGGAGATAGAGACCATCTTAGCTAACACAGTGAAACCCCATCTCTACTAAAAATACAAAAAATTAGCCAGGCGTGGTGGCGCGTGCCTGTAGTCCTAGCTACTCAGGTGGCTGAGGCAGGAGAATGGCATGAACCTGGGAGATGGAGCTTGCAGTTAGCCGAGATCGTGCCAATGCACTCCAGCCTGGGTGACAGAGCAAGACTCTGTTTCAAAGAAAAAAAAAAAAACAATCCAAGCCCCAGATGAAAAGTGTAGCCCGGGCCAATACGTTGGTTTTAGCCTAGTGATGCCTTAAGCAGAAAAGTAGCCCCACCACAGTAGACTTCACTCCCATAGAATTTCACTTCTGTATATAATAAATGGTGTTTTAAGCCACTACATTGGTGATCACCTGTTACAACAACAATAGGGAACTAACACAGTGACAGATGCTATCTTCGTTCAGCTAGGCTGGAGCATCTGCAAGTCTCTTTTTTTTTTTTTTTTTTTTTTTAATGCCAGTGAACTTTTTCCATCATTACTGGTTTCCAAGTACCTTGATTGCTCTGATACATATTTTTTTTTCCCTCTTTTTTCTTTTTTCCTGTTGTTTCTTGGTCAAGAAATGAATGAACAGAGAAGCAATATGTTATGGTAGAGTGACAAATAGGGGTTATAAAGTCCAATTCTAGGCCAGCCTCTGCTTTACTGGAGTTCGTAAACTCACTCAAGTTAGGTAGCTTTTCTGGGTCACGGTTTCATCTGCAGTACACAATGAAAGGTAACTCTAATTTCCATGCCACTGTTTAGGTGCTATGACTCTATGAAATATTGATTTCACTTCTTGTATATACTAAATTATTTCTAGTAGCTTTAAAGAATAAGAAACAAGTTGAAGACAAAGAGCCAGACTCTAAATATCTTATTTATTTGAAGTGACTTGAATAAACATACGAAAATCCTAAATGAAAGTTATGAGAGCATAAAATCAAGTTATGAAATGTGTGCTCCAGAATCCATGCACTATTCTATTCCCTAAAATTATATACATGCATATATAAATTATATATATATAATATATATATTATATATATAATATATATATTATATATATATTATATATATATAATATATATATAATATATATATAATATATATATATATATATAGTGTGTGCGTGTGTGTTTGTGTGTGTATCTCTGCCAAGGGCTATTGGTCCTTGATTTTAAAAGCTGGACAAAATCCAGTTCTGAAGTGATGAGCAGAAATGTTATTCGCTTTAAATCTATAAACGATAAAGAGTGCTTAAGTGCTGGGCAACAGTAGAACAGCAAAGATATGTGAGACAAAAATTCTGATTTAATGGGGTTACATCATTGCATGTATACACTTATATGGGTGTATCTGTAATAATACTGATGTTAGCTAAGCAATATCCTATGTGAAAAAAATGTAATGTTATAATGAGAAAACCTTCCCTTGTTGTTTCCTTTAGAGTAGACTTAACATAGATAACATAATTTAATTTTACAATAATTCAATAAGATTAAGTGCTATCATTACTCCTATTTTACAGATAGCCAAAGTGGCTAGAAATCTAAATAATTTGTGCACACTCGTATATGAAGAAAATGGTGAAAAAATAATACAGAGACCTCAACTCTAGAACCATCCAGAATCAAGCCATTTTCCTACAATTACCTCTATTCTTTCCTAAGAAATATAAGTCAAGTATATCCAACTCTTTGTTTATTATATCTGCTTAGATACACAGTCCCAACAAACACAATTTTTTCACAACAAAATGCGTGATTTTTACTCAAATTCAGTCCTGCTTTAATGATTGCTATTCATGTGGATGGGACATCCAGTTTATTAGCTGCACAATCTGGAAGCCACTTAAATTAATCTTAAATGAATCATTTTTCTATTCCCTCTCCCACAAAATTCAATTTTAATACATCACTCAGTGTATTGTTTCAGCCTTTTACATATCTCGGAAATATTCGTTGTTGTCGTCTCTAAAACCACCATCTCACTGCTTGCTACAATAACCTCTTGTGACTCTGGCCTAGACTGCTATACACCACTTCATGATTAAAGCATTGTGGTGGCTTCCTGATTCAAATGCATTTAAAAACTGAAATATTTAAGATTGACTCAGAGCTCCAAATTATGCATTTAGTCTCTTTATGTCATGTGTGAAAGGTATATACCTTTCACACATGAAAAAGTGCATAGAATTTTTTACTAAAATGTCTGCCTTTTCTGATTCTCCAGGATCCTAAAATGTCAAGGAGTCTTCACTATTACACTTCCAAAAAATATTGTCTCCCTCTTTCTCTCAATTATGCACAGACTTCCATTTACTTTGTTTGGTTCTCTTCTTTCTCTCTTCACCATTTTCTGCATCATACATCTGAACGTGTCATAGGCAGCTTCCTTAAGGACTCTATTATTCTTATTACCCTAATTGCTTTTCTGACTAGAATAAAAACAAGGAGTATAGTTGGGGTGGGGGATAGTTGAGGATGAAGTTGTTAAGCAGGCCACATGGAAAGTTCTGTTCTGGGGAGTGATAATTGCAGTGAAAAAGTGGAGTATTGACAGTGAAGATGATAAGAAGATAAACAATTTGAGAACAAGAAGAAGTAATAGGATCGCCTTTTCAATTTTTCCTATGTACATCTCTTGGCATCTAATCAAGACCTTGAGTGCTGAGAAAGTAAAGACTGTGTACATTACATGCAGATTTCGTTGTCAGGAGTCAGGCAAACACTAAACCTTGCTCAGTTTAAGTCCTCTCTCTTCTTACTATAAAGTTGTGAACACTGGCATTCTTTTTGGCTTTGATGTACCCAGTATTGCTAAAGAACAGTGTAACATTGGACACTACTCAATCTTCTACTTCGTTTTTTTTTTTTTTTTTTTTTCTGAGATGGAGTCTTGATGTGTTGCCCAGGCTGGAGTGCGGTGGCCTGATCTCGGCTTACTGCAACCTCTGCCTCCCAGTTCAAGCAATTTTCCTGCTTCAGCCTCCCAAGTAGCTGGGATTACAGGTGCATGCCACCATGCCAGGCTAATTTTTGTATTTTTAGTGGAGATGGGGTTTCACCATGTTGGCCAGGCTGGTCTCAGACTCCTAACTTCAGGTGATCTGCCCACCTTGGCCTTCCAAAGTGCTGGGATTACAGGTGTAAGCCACAGCTCCCCGCCAATCATCCACTTCTTAAGATGCATTGGAAGGAAGGGTTGACATTTAAGTATATAAATTATGGGTTTTTGTCAAAAAACTTCATGCCTTCATAGCCAAAAGGACTACTGATCCCTACAAGGTATCCATGCCTCGATTATCTTTTTTATTTATTCACACAAAGTAGTGTCATTTGCATGAGAAAGAAAAAAATGAAAATGTGACATATATCTAACTTTCAAATGGCTAAAACTCCAAATACGTATCAGAGTTCCTGGTTTGCTTGGAGATAAGTGATTTCCATTGTTAAACATTGGTATTATTCTCAAAATAAAAGGATGCTAATAAAAACTTCATTAAAGAGGAGACAATTTGCATGTGAACAAGAAAACTTCATTCCACAAAGAAAAAGGGTTGTTTTCTGAAAGTAAAGCAAAGTGTAACAAACTTGCCTTGCTGCCTGTTACTGATTATTTTTGCACCCCTAGGAAATCAAGGGGAAAAATCTCTGATACTTTATTTCCTTCAGCTTTGTACAAAACTGAATCATCACTTTCTTTTTTGGTAACTGAAACTCCCAGAGCTACTGTTTTCTTATGGATCCAAATTCTCAGAGGTTAATTGTGTTTTTATTGAGTATCATCATAGTTGTGTTGCACTACATAAACACAATGTTAATTTTGTCCTTGGCATCATGGTTGAAAACTAGAAGGAATACCAGTAATACCAGGACAGAAAAAACAAATATACATATTCAGTGGAATTTCAATTAGCCTCCCATCCTCCATTCCCCAAGAATAAAGGACAAACATTATGTATCAGTAGATGAAGTATTACATGTATGAGAAAAATTACATTTGAGGTTAAAAAAGCAATTGGTTATTCAAGCTCCACAAGCAAGAGAGAAACACCACTATAATAAAATGATATGTTGACATGTTTATGAAAGATGTAAAAGTATATTTGTATAGATTTTACATTATTTTTGACATAATGAATAATATATTTAACTTGTTCTTTAATATATGGAAATGTGAACATATTTATGCAAAAAGAACAATGGTTGTGGAATAAGTAAGAATATAATTTATAGAAATAATTTATAAAAACTCATTTGGCATTTGTTTTTGACATGATTTTGTTTACTTTTCTTTCTTTTCTTTCACTGGATTGAGACTAATGATTACAGTTTTGACTCTTTAAAATAATCTGGAATCCAGATGGAAGGCAAAGCATTAATTTCTTTATTCAATTTATCATGTAACTTCTATACCTCAAATGTACAGGTTTTTTAAAAATCAAATTTAATAATTTTATCATCACAAGGTTACTTTTCTGGAGAACCCAATAGAGACAACACAAGTAAAATCATTTAGTGGAAAAATTGTTTTAAAATACTGTATTAAGCAAGTAAATATTTAGCAACATTATATGTAATTAAATTTTTTGAAGTTGAGCTTATCTCAAAATTATAAGATTATGAAGGCAAAACAGTGAGTTTATGTTTCACTTAATTCCAAATTTAAAATTCAGACTTATATCTATATTATGAGCAAGAAAGAGCTCTTTTCTACTTCTGAATGTTGACAGGCAATTCTCCATGGGTATCTAGCAGTTCTACACATATTGGGAAGAGGCATTGATGGCATTTGTTTCAGATTCTCATTTCAAGGATGTTTGCCTAGTAAATGGCCTTGGAAGATAGAGATAATATCTCCTTTCCCTTGACAAAGATCAGGTATGTTTGCAAGCAGCCCGCTTATAAAATCGTTGGTATCCTAAACTCAGGGGTCCTTAGCTGTTACACAAAGCTACCCAGCACCGACTTGGGCTGTTTCACAGCATCCATTTGGCATTTGGAGGGCAAGAAGAACTAACAAAGACATGCAGTTCATGCTGCCTAATACGTCATGAATGAGAAAGTCTTACGTCTGATTCGGGAGTCTCATGTTTCTAGTACCTTCTCTGAAACTTGTTAATTTGCAAGTAGGGTAAAAGGTAGGATCTCAGACACTTCACAATTCTTGATAATTAACATTAAGTTTTTGTCTATAATGTCCTCATTGTAAATACAGTATAAGCTGTATATGAAGTCACTTAAACATTTGTGTATACATATTTTTGTGTATTCCTTTTTTCATATAAAGGGCTATTAAATTTTATATTCATAAAATTCCTCATGTCTTTAGTATATAGCTACAACTTAGTTAACACACTGATGTACCTATCAAGAAACAGAACATTACCAAGCCCTCTGGAAAACCCCTTTGTTCACTTCTAGTTACAAATCCGCCATCAAAGATAATGACTGCCTGAACTTAAAACATCATAGATTAATTGTGCCATCTTTTTACTATATTACATATAGGTGCAATTATTGAACAGGTTAGCTTCAAAGTAACCACTTTGACCACCACAGATCCTTCACCCATGCCTGAATCTGATCCCACATGGCAGCAATTAAAAAAAAAATACTTATTAGGTCATGTTAGTTCTCTGCTCAGGATCTTTCAATGCTTTTCACCATTTTTAGCCATATATTAAAACTCATTTCTGCTGGGCGCAGTGGCTTATGCCTGTAATCCCAGCACTTTTGGAGGCCTAGGTGGGTGAATCACCTGAGGTCAGGATTTCAAGACCGGCCTGGCCAACATGGTGAAACCCCGTCTCTACTAAAAATACAAAAATTAGGTGGGCATGGCGGCACATTCCTGTAATCCCAGCTACTTGGGAGGCTGAAGGAGGAGAATTGCTTGAACCCAGGAGGCAGAGGTTGCAGTGAGCTGAAATCGTGCTGCTGCACTCCAGCCTGGGCAATAGAGTGAGACTCCATCTCACAAAAACAAAAACAAACAAACAAACAAACAAAACTCTTTTCCTTGGCTTATAAGGCCCCACAAGATCTTCCGAAGGACTCATCTCCTATTTCCCTTATTCCTCACTACACTACCAGCTTTATCATTTCTCTTGCTTTATCTTTTCCTCGTAGTACACAGTGTCTCCTGACATTCCTCTATAGACATTAATTTGGTTATAAGCCATCTATTTCAGTGGAATGTAAGCACCATGAGAGTCTATGCTGGATGTTTTTGTGAGGTATTTGTGGATGAGATTAACATTTGAATTGGTAGAATGAGCAGGCAGATTGCCTGTTGCAATGTGAGTGGCCATCGTTTAATCAGCTGAAGGCTTGAATAAAACAAAAAACCTGAGAAAGAAGACTCTCTCTGCCTATCTTTGAACTGGGATATTGAATTATTTCCTGCCTTTGGACTCTAACTGAAACACTGATCAGCTCTTCCTGGGTTTTGAGTTTACCAGCCTTTGGACTGGAACTACATCAGCTCTCCTTGTTCTCAGGTCTTCAGACTTTGAAATATAGCTAAACCATTGGCTCTCTTGGGTCTCTAGCCTGACAATTCATCCTAAATATCTGGGGAGTTCTTAGCTTAGATAATCACGTGAGCCAATTCCTTAAAATAAATCCATATGTGCTATAGAAAAAATGTTTGTGTCTCCCCCAGAATTGATACATTGATATCCTAACATCTAACATGATGGTATTAGGAGGTGGGGCTTGTGGTAGGTATAGGTCAATGAATAGGATAAATGCCCTTATAGAAGAGAACTTGGAGATCTCCCTCATTCCTTCTGCTATGTGAGCACCTAGTAAGAAGACAGTCATCTATGAACAAAGAAGGGGCGTCTCACCTGACACCAAATCTGTCTATGTCTTGATCTTGGCCTTCCCAGCCTCCAGTGCTGTGAGAAATAAATCTGTTGTTAGTAAACCACCTAGTCTATGGTAGTTTGCTATAGCAGTCCCCAAAACTAAGACTATAGTCAGATATTATGTATCCTTTTGGTTCTTTTTCTATGAAAAAGTCTGACTAATTCGGGAAGTCAAGATGACAAATCCAAAGTTTAGTATTAGCAACTGGGTATGTAGTCGTTCGATTTATTTTGAGGTCTAGAAAGCCAGAGAAAAAGGAATTGAAAGACAAAAATTCCATCTGAGATATCTCAGGTTTTAGATGGTTATAAGGCATACAGATGATTGATTTTTGTTTTTTCCTTATTCTATTTTAAAACTTTGAAAAGAAAAATGTGTTGCCTTTGTATTCTGCTCTGTCCTACGCGATTTTGCAGTAATACAGTTAATCCTCATAACAACCAGACAAATGAGACCTAATTGTTTTCCTGATTTTAAAGATGAGAACATAAATATTGAAATGTCTTGGTCAGACAAGGTCAACCACATTAGGAAATGGCAGCATTAGAATCTGAGCCAAGCTTTCTTTTATGCCAAAGTGTAGCATTTAAACAATAAGGTACATTATTTCGTTTCCTTGAGTTTTTTAATTTTTAAAAAAGTTTTGTAATTTTTTTATTTTTTATTTTATTTTTTATTTTTTTTCTGGGATGGAGTCTCGCTCTGTCTCCCAGGCTGGAGTGCAGCGGTGCGATCTCAGCTCACTGCAACCTCAGCCTCCCAGGATCAAGCAATTCTCCTGCCTCAGCCTCCCCAGTAGCTGGGATTACAGCGCGCGCCAACACTCCCTGCTGATTATTATTATTATTATTATTTTATTTTATTTCATTTTTTTTGAGACAGAGTCTCGCTTCGTCGCCAGGCTGCAGTGCAGTGGCAGGATCTTGGCTCACTGCAATCTCAGCCTCTCGGGTAGCTGGGATCACATGCGTGGGCCACCACGCCCAGCCAATTTTTTGTATTTTTAGTGGAAACACGGTTTCAGCGTGTTAGCCAGGATGGTCTCAAAGTGCTGATCTCAGTGATCCGCACGACTCGGCCTCCCAAAGTGCTGGGATTACAGGCGTGAGCCACCATGCCCGGCCTTGCTTATTTTTTTCAAAACCAGCTTACTTCCTGAGGTCTGTGCATGCCCTTGCCATCTCATCCTACTGTTTGTTGTTGTTGTTTTAACCTCTAACTTCCTTTTTTCATGAGTTACACATTTTATTGCACATAATCAGGAGCAAAAATGATGGCATGTGGTCTTTGGAAGCAGGTCCTTCAGTGCCTTTTTCCTCTTTATGTTGCTTTCCTTCTTCCTTTACTTACATTTATTTATTAATTTATTTCAGTTAATGTATGGATCCCATACTCTATTAATCTTCTTAAATTTATCTTTCCCTGGATCTGATCTTCACATGGGTGAGGATCTTTGAATGTATGGAGGCATTTTTTATTTTTTCCTCCTTATCACTCTGGGCCATAAAGCTCTGCTTCTTTCAGAACATGTGCATGAGATATTTATACAGCTCTTCAGCTAAGGTTACTAATATGCAGCCCTGTGATGCCACCAGTTATAATTCTATTACTGCATTATTACTCTTTCAATTAAAAAGAAATAGTAGAAAAACAAAGCAAACAAACAAACAAAAGGCAAAATAATTGCATTTCAGAGGATGTCTGTTCCTGTGTAAGGTGCACCTGTCCTTGCTTCAAGGGGAGTGGGTTACTTTTTTTTAAGTTTTTATATTTTCAAGATTCGGGGTTTGATACAACCATTTTTTTTTTTAACTTTAAATTCTGGGATACATGTGCTAAACATGCAGGTGTGTCACATAGGTATACATGTACCATGGTGGTTTGCTGTACCTATCAACCTGTCATCTAGGTTTTAAGATCCACATGCATTAGGTATTTGTCCTAATGCTCTCCCTCCCCTTGTCCCCCACTCCCCGACAGGCCTCGGTGTATGATGTTCCCCTCCCTGTGTCCATTTGTTCTCACTGTTCAGCTCCCACTTATGAGTGAGAACATGTGCTGTTTGGTTTTCTGTTTCTGTGTTAGTTTGCTGAGAATGATGGTTTCCAGCTTCATTCATGTCCCTGCAAAAGACATTAATTCTTTCTTTTTAATGGCTGCATAGTATTCCATGGTATATATGTGCCACATTTTCTTTATCCAGTCTATCATTGATGGGCATTTGGACAACCATATTTTTTGTTGAGTTTTGTTTCTTTAGCGGCTTAGCCGTCTCTGCTGGTTTTAGTTAGTTCCAGCTGAGTCAATGGCTCATCTTAGACTGCACTTCTACCACCAACCTCTGCAAGTAAATACTCCATAGGACTTCTGGCCTAGACCTGAGGTTGCCATGGATTCATATTGAGCAAGTGAGTTCCATGTACACATCCCAGTGTTTCCTCAAGTAGCCTGCACGCCCTGTCTCCACCCTCAGTTTAAGAACACCATTGAGGTTTTTGAGATGTTCTTCTTACTTTCTGCCAAAGCAAGATATCTGATAGAAGGAGAAACCCTGTATTGACTCCCTCGCTTTTTGTTTATTCCAAAATTATGCTCTGTCTGGCTGACACATTGTGAAATTTAAGGGGAAAATTAGACCTTTTCCTCATTTCACTTTCATTGTTTTTTTTTTTTTAAATCTATTGTGTATTTCATTCATTTTGG